>NC_000010.11:18040303-18191818 GCF_000001405.40 Homo sapiens
CCACCCAGGAGAGCAGTTCTGGATCCTACTTTGTCTTTGAGTCCATTGCTCCATGCCGGGATGTGAGATGGCAGGTCATAGTAAACCACCCTCATGCCATTGAAATAACTACCTAAGATGAAGAAATATCTCAAACAGAGCATTCAGGGTGCTCCTCTCCATGTACTTAAAAATGTGTCAACCTGGCCAGGCATGGTGGCTCATGCCTGTAATCCCAGCACTTTAGGAGGCCAAGGCAGGTGGATCACCTGAGGTCAGGAGTTCAAGACTAGCCTGGCCAACATGAAGAAACCCTGTCTCTACTAAAAATACAAAATTAGCCAAGCATGGTGGTGGATGCCTATAGTTCCAGCTACTCGGGAGGCTGAGGTAGGAGAATCGCCATAACCCAGGAGGCAGAGGTTGCAGTGAGCCGAGATCATGCCACTGTACTCCAGCCTAGGCGATAAGAGTGAAACTCCATCTCAAAAAAAAAAAAAAAAAGTGTCAAGCCATTTTCTATTGCCATAAACCTAAAGTCCTTGATCATTCATTTGATCGATAAAATAATCTGAGTCGTTCTCTACTGGAGGTGATTTTTATCCCCCAGAGAAAATTTGACTGTGTCTGGAGGCATTTTTGCTTGCCATGATTGTGGGCAGAGACACAGCTGACATCTAGTAGGAGCCATAGATACTGCTACAACATCTTCTAATGGACAGGAGAGGGGTCTCACAATGAAGGATGATCTGGCCCAAAATGGCAAGATTGAGTTAAATCTCCAATCCTTGTTGACACGAGCCTGTGTCCCAATGGAAATGACTGTGTAATGAAAGAGGTATGCTTGCTCTGACCTTCTCAGGGTGAGGGCTTTGAAATAATTTGAGACAAATACACCTTGGGGCACTTCACACAGATGCGTGAGTGAACCCTTCCCTCTAAATGGTGTTAGGCCATTTCACAAACATGAAATAGTTGCCATGTGTTTCTCTGAGAATAAAATATAGCCACAGGACAGCCTGGTCAACACAGTGAAACTCTGTCTTTACCAAAACATACAAAAATTAGCCGAGTGTGGCAGCACATGCCTGTAGTCCTAGCTACTCAGGAGGCTGAGGCAGGAGAATTGCTTGAACCCGGGAGGCAGACATTGCAGTAAGCTGAGATCCCACCACTGCACTCCAGCCTGGGTGACAGAGTGAGACTCTGTCTCAAAAAAAAAAAACTTTATATATATATATATGTATATATATACACACACACACACACACACACGCACACATACACACACACATACATACACACACCATATATATGTGTATATATATGTATATACATATGTATATATGTGTATATATATGTATATACATATGTATATATGTGTATATATATGTATATACATATGTATATATGTGTATATATATGTATATACATATGTATATATGTGTATATATGTATATACATGTATATATGTGTATACATATGTATACATATGTATATACATATGTGTCTATATGTATATACATATGTATACGTATATGTATGTACATACATATGTATACGTATATATATGTACATACATATGTATATGTATATATATACACACATATATGTATATGTATATATGTATACATATATATATGTAGCCACAGGAGATAATGTCCTTACTGTTCTAAAGATCAGGAGGATCTTAGTCATCGCTCTCTCTCTCTCCTTTTCTTCCTCCCTCCTCCCATAATATGTATATATGCCTTACATCAACCTGTGCATATAGTAGTTCTATAAGCCTAATAGAACAGTCCAAAATAATAATTTTGATGCATTATTTACTTCACATTTAAACATTTTCTGAAAAGTAAGAGTTGGGTTTGTTTTTGGTTGGTAACTATGTCATTTTAAGACTTCTACCAAAGGCCAGGTGCAGTGGCTCACGCCTATAAGCCCCAGCACTTTGGGAGGCCGCAACATGCAGGTTGCTTGAGCCCAGGAGCTTGAGACCTGCCTGGGCAATACAGGGAAACCCCATCTCTACAAAAAAATGCAAAAATTAGCTGGGTGCAATGGCACGCACCTGGAAGGCTGAGGTGAGAGGATTGCTGGAGCCCAGGAGGTTGCTGTGAAATGTGATCGCAGCCATTGCACTCCAGCCTGGGTGACAGGGCAAAGACCCTGCCTCAAAAGAAAAAAAAAAAAAAAAAAAAGACTTTGCCAATCCTGGGATCCTCATAACCACAATCAAATGGCTTACTTTTAGCTTACATTTCAAAGACATGGTAGAGTAGGTATTCAGCATTTTGTAACTGTTTTGGGAATTTTAAAGGTTATTAAGTTCTGAATAACAGTCGCTCATGTTTTCCCACCAAGCTTTTCCCAGCAGTTGAATATATCTGGATCTTATTCTGGTTTTTTATTCTTTTTTTAGCTTCCTGAAATGACTCATGTTCAAACACAACGACCCTGGATGATGTTTCTCCTGCAAAACTTTGGATTGATCCTAGGTTGGCTTTCTCTCCTGCTCTTGGCTATATATGAGCAAAATATTAAAATATAAGTGAGGATCTTCAACATCTTTCAAAAATGCATTTATATAGTCTTACTTTGTTTCTTTCATTGCACTCTATAATGATTTTTAAATTAAGAATTTTTTATCTTAGGCAAAGTGTGTCTCTTTCAATTCATTAACTTATTAATTTTATAATGCAGTTTTATTTTTGGAAACATATAAATATCAGACTGTCCTTAATTGAAATTTTGTCTTTGGTTTCCAACACCATGATGAAGCTCTTGCTTTTTAAAAAGTAGTTAGTAAATTCTGCATGAATTTTAGTAAACTTTAAAAAATAGATTTTTTCCCTAAGAAAGAATGTTTGTAGAATTTAAAGTGGACAGATGCCTGTTGGAGTAAAATCAACTGCAACTTTTTGATGTTAATTTTTTTCCCTGTGCAATTATAAACTATAAGCAAGTTAAGTGACAAGCAAATGTAATAAAGACTAGTTTTAATATGGTGGTTTTTATTACCTTCTGTTACTGGATGTCAGATTCTGAGTCATCTCTTAAAAAAACAATGTATAGTTCACCCACTGACTCTAGAGCGCTTGTGAACAAGCCATTTTGGGAGACCTAAAGGATAACATGTCAGCATTCTTCTATGTAAGTCGTCAAATGAAATCTGTTCCAGGCAAGGGGAGCTGGAAACATAAGATGAAGTTCAAAATTTTTAAAGTAACAAAACTGGAGTCAGGCAGTAGATGAATGCCTAAACTCTCACAGATTTAACAGAGAATATTTATGGGAATAATCTCACTAACACGTGAGATATATTTTATCTTCTTTCTGAGGAAACAGAATCCTGAACAGGATTTCAATAGGTAAGTTCATGAAATGTACATGCAATTTACTGATAACCTAGCGAAAGTGTTGAAACAGAAAATAACCCTGGCTTTAGTCAGTTTTCTTAGAAAACAGATGCCTTATATTTTTCTTATTTTTTAAATGCTATTTCTTGACAAGGGAAAAAACCCATTTTACTCCCAAAATGACTCATGGTGCTCAGTCAAAAACATCTCTCCTATCTCTTACTCACCAGTAGGTTTTGTTGTTGTTGTTTGTTTGTTTGTTTTGCTATGCCCTACCCAAACACTATATTTTTTTTTCAACTACCTTTCTTTGATTCCAAAATGAGGTGGATTTTTTCTCCAGTTGTCTTTAGAGCTTAATTTAAGCAAAGGCCATGCATCATCACTGGATAGTGCAATAGTTCTAAAACTTTGGCACAAACAAGAATTAACCAGAATATTTATCTATGAAAAACAGAGCTTGGCCGAGCATGGTGGTTCATGCCTGTAATCTCAGTGCTTTTGGAGGCCAAGGCAGGAAGATCATTTGAGACCACCAGGAGTTTGAAACCAGCCCGGACAACATAGCATAGATCTCATCTCTACCAAAAAAAAAAAAAAAAGTTAGCCAAGTGTGGTGGTGCATGCCTGTAGACCTAGCTACTAGGGAGGCTGAGGTGGGAGGATCGTTTGAGCCCAGGAGTTCAAGGCTGCAGTGAGCTATGGTGGTACCTTTGCACTCCAGCCCGGGCAACAGAGCAAGACCCTATCTCAAGAACTAAACAAAAAGACAGATCGCTGGGCTCCATCCCTCTCTTCTGATTCTGTAGGTCTGGAGTGAGGCCTGTGACCTTGATTTTGAACTCCTTCCATGGGATGCTGCTTTTGCTGGATGGGGCACCACTCAGTACCACTGGTGTGATAGATGTTGGGCCGACTTGGCTTCAAGAAAGTTTAGGCGCACACCTCTGTTGCCCAAGTCAAGTCATGTGCTTTTAAGTAAGTAGGCTAACACGTCTACAAACCACATGCTAGATGCGAGCTCCTGGGCTGAAACACCCATTTCTTTGTCTGCATGCCATGGGACATCAGATCAATCCCAGGAATTATTGAATTAGGACTCCATGCAGCAGTTTTTTTCATATTCATATTTTCCCTAAAAGGTAAGCAGATTTGATACATAGAGCTTTGCCATTTTTTTAAGAGGATAAACTGCAGCTGAACAAAAATCTCTTTGTACAGGTCAGCATGGTGTGGAGGTCAAAATACTTGGCACTGTCTGTGTTTTGGTTTCTGTGACCGGGTTCTGATTTTGACCTTAAGCTTTAATTTATGCCATTTTAATTAGAAAAGTTCTGATGGACGACTTTGTTCCAAGTTCAAGTTTGGAGTCATTTAGAGCTGGCTAAATTAAAATTCTTGGTATGAGCTGCTCACCTTCAAGTTAGAGGAAGTTAAGTTTAACCCCCTGCTGAGGTTGGAAATAGTATGCAGAGAGGCTTAAAGGAAGTGAGCTGTCAGAGGATTTAGGAGGACATCGTCAGTGGGTGTTTGCAAGCCTATCACCAAAGTGCCTTTATTGTAAGCGGAAACCTGTGGTCATCTGCAGAAGTCATTTGAAGAGCAGTGTGCTGCCTTGGACCCTGGGGACAGCTTTCTAGATCACCATCTCTCCCCTCCTCTGCCTTAACACTGGTTTTGTGTTCTTCCAAGGAGTTCAGGTTCCAGATAACAAACCCTAGCCTGTAATGGACCTCCAGCCACAAGCAGACTTAGAATTGCTAGAACATCACTATTCCTCAAAACTGAGTGGCAAGAATAAAAGGATGATGGCAACTATTTGCTTTCTAAATATGCGCAGGGTCTAAATTTGACTCTCCATAACGTCATAGCTTTAAGCTATTTAAGTTATGTGTTACTCACTGATCTTTGGGGTGAATGGTGTTTTCCTTGAAACCAGATTTCTCAATAACATTCGGGTATTTATGTTTCCCAGGCTTAAACTTAGCATTCCACTGTATTTCGACTTGGTGATTGACTTGTCGTTGTTATTTTTTTCCCTGAACTAGAAATGCTTCTGGAGAAAAATCAAAGAGCATATCACACAGAAATCTTATGTGAACATCTATCATCCATAGACAGGGCCATCTTTAGGGATGGGGAATCGGCCCGTGTTTCTGTAGTGCTGAGAGCAGAGCCTGGGAAGCTGGTTCCACTGCTTCATGCTGGACAGGACAGAAGTCTTAAATAAACGTGTCCATCAATTGTGGTCACTACAAATCCCTCCCCCGCTTCCCAGAACTCAGATTTGGAGGTGAGACTGTGCCTCTTCTTATGAGACACACCTCTCTGGGTTCTGCACATTTACAATTTCATTTCCCCACCTAAACTGGAAAGGAAGGGCTGGGTCATGCGGCTACTAACCACTTGGGTAGACGGCACTAATCAGTTGGGTTCTAGGCAGTCATTAAGAATTCAAGCTATAAACTATAATTTTGGTTCAAATCCCAGCTACACTGCCTAATAGCCTTGTAACTTCTTAGAACGGCAGTTTCTTCTTATGTAAAATAGGGCTAAAAAGAGACCCTCCCTCACAGAATTGTGGTAAGGTCAATATGGGATACTGCTCATGAAGCACTTAGCACTGTGCCTGGAAAATACTAGTGGCTCAATAAATGTTAATTTGTTATCACTAACATCATCATCATCACCATCGGTCTTCCCTTCTTTCATCACAGTTTACCTCTCAGTGCTGTACCTTTGGTCAATGAGATCTTTTTTTTTTCTTGGTGGAAAATGGAGATCAAGCCTTTTTATATAACTGCAATCTTCAATAAGATCTCCAAACCAGCTCCCACCAGCCCTTTGAAGTTGTCCTGAATGTTTTTTCATATTGACTCAACTTCCAGAGCTGGAGACATGGGGGCCCCCTCTGATGTGCCCCGTTCTGCCCATCCTTCCAGGCTTACAAGCAGCATGAGCCCCTCTCTCTTCTTCTTTATCTCGTAACAAGTGGAAATCCATTTTGTTCCACTCCAGTTACACTCCTAAGGTTGAATAATGGAGACTCACAGAGAAGAAACTGTCTGAGGTCATTGTTATTGTCACAGTTTGATTTCAACTCAGGGAAGACAAAAAGCAGTTCAACTAATTTCTCCTGTTACCAATGCACCTGCTGAGGAAATCAAACCACCTCTGAAAAGAGTCCAACACCATCAAGGTAAACAGGGCATCTGCTCACTGGAGGCCTGGTTTTGTTTAAGCAGTGCTCCAGTGGGACAGCACACATTTTGGAAACTATCTGGGATTTCTTCTTTACTGACTAGATGGGTCTCACTGTCTCAGCATTTCCATTAAATTTCAGGGTATGCAGAGTGATCATAGACAGCCCACAGTATCACATAGTGCTAGCCCTGGAACCAGCTTCAGAGATTTAATCCAACTCTTTGATTTATAATGGTGATGTAATAGCAAGTATTTTTATAGCACTTATTATATACCAGATACTGCTAATAGTGCTTTATGAGAGTCATTTAATTCCAAGAACCCTGTGATTATAGGTGTAATGCGGTTTACAATTCCATTCTACAGACGAAGAAATTGAGGCCCAGAAAGGTCAATTAACTTGCTCAAGTTTACAGAGCTGAAGTAAGCTCCAGAGTCTGTGATACTAATCTCTACCTCGCACCCCCTCTGCATAGAGAAACTGAGGTTCAACGAGTCTGAATTACTACCTAAGCTCTTATCTCTGGAAATGAGTTTACCTAAGACTAAATTCTAGATCCCTGAATTCTAATCCAGCAATCTTAATAATCTTTACAGTCTTCCCTGGTCCTGCTCAATCAAGCCTTCTCACCTATAAGGTCTTAGTTATCTGAGGTTACTTTTACTATTCCAGTTCATGTTAATATCCCCCTATCGGGACTTGCAACCTATGCAGTAAGTTTTTGCGTTGCCTTCTGGGTTTTCTAATTGTTGATTTATGGGATGGTAAAGAAAGTGATCAGAGGTGCTAGCTCTGGATCTAGCAGCAACTGTCTGTGAGTTTTCAGGCTTACACTTCCTCCTCTGAAAAATGGGAGATTAGACTAGATGATCCTTTAAGATCTCACTGAATACAGGCCATTCAATCCTGAAGTAAGGACTCTCTCCCCAGTGGAAGGGGTGGTTCATCCACTGCACATCAAATAGCACACAGCTTATGGCAGGTTCTGTTATTCTTGTAGAAGCCATTAGTACAGTAGGTTGAATAGTATTTCCCCAAAATTCATGTCCAGCTGGAACCTCAGAATGTAGACTTATTTGGAAATAAGGCCTCTGCAGATATAATTAGTTAAGGTAGGATGAGATTGTATTGGTTTTAGGTGGACCCTAAATCCAATATGACTGGTGTCCTTGTAAGAAGAGGAGGGGACACACACACAGGGAAGATGGCCAACGGAGGACAGAGGCAGAGGACTGGATGATGCAGGTATAAGCCAAGGAATGCCAGAGATTGCCAGTAACCACCAGAAGCTAGGAAGAGGCAAGGAAGGATCCTTCCCTAGCGCCTGCAGAGGAAGCCTGGCCCTGATGAGACCTGGATTTTGGATGTTAAGCCTCAAGAATTGTGAGAATACATTTCTGCTGTTTGAAGTTACCAGTTTGTGGTTACTGGTTGTACAGCAGCCTTAGGAAATTAATGAACTTTCTTTTTTTCTTTTTCTTTTTTCTTTTTTGAGACAGTCTCGCTCTGTCACCCAGGCTGGAGTGCAGTGGTATGATCTCGGCTCACTTCAACCTCCACCTCCTGGATTCAAACAATTCTCCTGCCTCAGCCTCCTGAATAGCTGGGACTACAGGCGTCCGCCACCACACTGGCTAATTTTTGTATTTTTAGTAGAGACAGGGTTTCATCATGTTGGCCAGGCTGGTCTTGAACACCTGACCTCAGGTAATATGCCAGCCTCGGCCTCCCAAAGTGCTGGGATTACAGAAATGAGCCCCCACGCCCGGCTGGGAAACTAATGAACTTTCTAAAGGAGGAATATTCCCAAACATCAAAGCCCTTGGGATTCTCCTCGGCATAAATATTTGAAGAATTATATTTTTAAAACCTAGGTTAAGGACTGCAAACTAGAAAGTGTCACTAAGGGTCACTCTCTCTTTAGGTTCATTTTCTTCAACAAACTCAACAGACTGGACACAACAGAGAGAACACGGCTATTAGCTATGTAGATACACAAACCAAGAAGACACGTAACTATGTCTACAACAAAATGACGCTTCTAAAAAAGTGACAATCAAGCTGAAAGCAGCTTGAATGATGGATGATAGGGTCACGTAAACCTCAAAAGTAAACCTCACACAGAATGCCCTTCAGCTCTTGAGAATGACACTACAGAGGAGAAATCTACATGCAGGGCAGCAGCTTTCAATATATAGGTTTATATTTTAAGCAATAAGACCTTTTTATTACAGAAAAACTTGTGTGGAATCTGCACAGATGCTCTTAAAACTGCCTTGGTAAAAGCCAAGGAATGGAAATCAGGGCTCTAATTTCTTGGTCTCTCCCTTTCCTTCCTGTAGAAGTCTCCAAGGGATCCCTACTAATATCCTTGGAAGAATAAAATCCTGTATTGTAAGCAAATATTTATAGTTATAAAAAGTATTCACAACCCATTGAGTAAAAAAGCAATTTACCAACAAAGCATATAATTCCAGTGTTGTGAATATACAGTATGATATATTACACATATATCCATATTGAAAATGTTCTGGAAGACTATATGCTAAAATGTTCATAATATTTCCTAAGGGGTGGTATTTAAATGATATGATTTTGCTTTTTTAAAAAACAACCTATATTTCATTATTTTTGGCACCACTGTGTTATATTTAGCTTTGGAAATAAGAAACGAGTAAAATAAATTAAAAAAAAATCTGTAAGAACTCTGGAAGATTGTGCCATTATTAAACAACCTAAAATTTCAAAAAGATAATGAGTGAAGTCGCCTATGTGTTCAAAAATCTGCCATATGGAACTTCTGGATTCCACTCTGACACGTAAGGAGCTTAGAAATCATTACAAGAAAAAAGTCAAACACCCTAAAAAGCAACAATTCTTCTAAGGTCCTTCAGAGAGCAAAGGTCGCAGAGCAAATTGTTGGCCTCAAAATGTAAGAGACAGATACAGAGAACTGCAACTTACCAAAGCCGAAGCCCAGGAGCAGAAAACACTGCAGGACCCAGGACCAGTATCCAATAACAAGGTAGAGAAACCTTAGATTGGCATTGATTAATTGCTCGAATCATACTGTAGAGAAGTTTGAGAGCTAAAAACCCTAGGATGGCCCAGTTTTGCATGGAGGGCCCTCACCTGCATGATTTTTACCTCCAGGAACCCTACCAGGTTCTCACAGTGAAGACTGGAGAAAAATCAACAAGTGCTTCCGGCATGGAGAGGGGGAAAGCAGCCATTTGGAAATACACCAGAGCTTTCTGTTCTTAACAAGGTCTGCCCTCAAGAGAAGCCATTTTACCTGAGCCTATTTGATAAAAATATCAGAGACTGACAGCCTGGAAAAAGAGAAGTGCCCAACTGCAGCTCCCCCTAACCTTTCTGTCTACCTAAGAGAGAGAAAATAAAAACTGAGGTCACAGCCCAAGGACACGGGCTCATGAAAAGGATGAGCCCTAATCATAGGATTTTAGAACACTTCCCCTCCCCTACACCTTATCAACACATCAACAGGGCTCTTGTATAATAACAAGGCCATGCAACTGTAAGCACTGTGCATCCCACATGTGATTTCAGAAGAGGCATCTGGAGAAATATAAAGACAACATGGGAGACAAGAACAAGGATACCAGAGGAAATTTTAGCCTCTGACAACTACAGCTCCAGCAAACACTAATTATAGCCTAACCCCTAGACAGATAAAGGACTAGTACCTCAGTTCCTTTCATTTTGTGTATTGTGTTGGCTTTCAACATAAAATAACAAGGCATACTAAAAGACAAACAACATAGTTTGAAGATACAGAGCGAACATCAGAACCGGACTAAGATATGGCAAAGATGTTAGAATTATCAGCCCAGTAATTTAAAACAGCTATGACTATGATTGAAAGACAAAAGCCTCTAATGGAAAACGTTGACAGCATGCAAGAATGAATGGAAAATGTAAGCAGAGAGGTAGAAGCTTTTAAGAGAGAACAAAAGGACTGGGTGTGGTGGCTCATGCCTATAATCCCAGTACTTTGGGAGGCTGAGGTGAGAGGATCACTTGAGCCCAAAAGTTCGAGGCCAGCCTGCGCAATGTAGTGAGATCCCATCTCTACAAACAATTCAAAAATTAGCTGCACATGGTGGCATGTGCCAGTGGTCCTAGCTACTCTGGAGGCTGAGGTGGTAGGACTGCTTAAGCCTGGCAGGTCGAGGCTGCAGTAAGCCATGATCATGTCACTGTACTCCAGCCTGAGAGAGAGAGAGAGACAGAGACAGAGACACAGAGAGAGAGAGACAGGGAAAGATAAAGAAACAAAGAAAGAGAAAGAAAGAGAGAAGGAAGGGAGGAAGGGGATGGAGGGAGGGAGGGAAGGATGGAAGAGGGAAATGCCAGAAATCCCAAACACTGGAACAGAAATGAAGAATGCCTTTGAAAGCCTCCTCAATAGACTGGACATGGCCAATGAAAGAATCATTGAACTTGGAGAAATGTCAATAGAAACATCCCAAACTGAAATACAAGGGGAAAAAAGAATAAAATAGACAAAATAGAATATTGAAGAACTGTAGAACAATTAGAAAAGGTGTAACATACACATAATGGGAATGTGAAGGAGAAGAAAGAAAAAAGAACAGTAACCACTTGAAGCGATAATGAGTTAAAATTTTCCAAAATTAATAATAGACATGAAACCCCATATCTAGAAAGCTCAGAGAACACCAAGCAGGAGAAATACCAAAAAATGTACACCTGACCATGCCATTTTCAAGCTGTAGAAAAAGGCAAAGAAAATATACTGAAAGAAGCCAACAGACAAATATTTTTACCTTTGCAGGAGCAAGGAGAAAAATAAGAATTATATTGGCCTTCTCTTCAAAAACCATGCCATCAAAAAGAGTGGCATGAAATATTTAATGTTTCAAGGGATGTAAGCCACCAACCTATAATTCTCCATCTAAAGAAATTATTTTTCAAAAGTAAAGGAGACATAAAGACTCTCTCAGACAAACAAAAATTGAGGGAATTTATTGCCAGTAGACTGGTCTTGCAAGAAGTGTTAAATATAAATTCTTCAGAAAGAAAATGAAGTAGAAAGTTGCATCTGCATAAAGAAAGAGCACTAAAGAATCAAGACACAATAAGATTTTTTATTTTTCTTCTTAATTGGTCTAATAGATAACTATTTAAAATAATATCAAAAATGTATTTGGTAATTATTGCTTACAGGTAGTTGAAATGAATGGCAGCAGTGTTATAAGGAATGGGAAGAGAAATTGGGAGTACTCTGTTAAGGTACTTGCCCCACATGGGAAGGGATGCAGTGTTACTTGAAAGAGGACTTGGATTAGTTGTAAATGTATATTGCAAAGTCAAGAGCAACTGCTAAAAAAATTTTTAAATGAAGTTTGATATGCTAACAGAGTAGAAAAAATAGAAGCATACAAAATGGTCAATTTAAACCAGAGAATGCAGAAAAAAAGTGGAAGACCAAAACAAAACAAGTAGAAAAAAGATCATGAATAGAAAACAGTAACAAATATGATAGATATTAAATCAACTGTATGAATCACTTTAAGCACCAATGGTCTAAATATATCAATTAAAAGACAGGGTATTGTCAAAGTGGATACAAAAACTAAGACCCAACTATATATATAAAGAAAGCCAGTTTAAATATAAAGACACAGACTTAACATTAAAATTGAAAGGGGCTGGGTGTGGTGGCTCACATTTATAATCCCAGTCCTTTGGGAGGCCAGGGCACAAGGATCTCTTGAGGCCAGGGTTTCAAGACCAGCCTGGGCAATATAGCAAGACACCATTTCTACGTAAAAAATTTAATGCATTAATTACATTTAAAATTAAAGGGATGATACTCCACTCCTGGGTATGTACCCCAAAATTTGGAAATCAGGGACTCAAACAGATATTTGTATACCAATGTTCATATCCACATATTTGCAATGGCAAAAAGGTGAAACATTTTCACTGAATCGATGAATAGAATAACAAAATATGGTGTATACGTACAAAAGAATATTATCCAGTCTTAAAAAGGAACAAAATTCTGACAAATGCCATAACATGAGTGAACTGTGAAGATACGTTCAGTGAAATAAACTGACACAAAAGGACAAATATTGCATGACTCAATATATGTGAGGTATCTAGAGTAGTCAAATTCACAGAGATAGAAAATAGAATGGTAGTTGTTAGGGATTGCAGAAGGGGAAAATGGGTACAAAGTTTCAGTTTCAGATAAGGAAACATTCTGGAGATGGATGGTGGTGATGGCTACACAATGATGTGAATGTACTTAACACCAGTGAACTGTACACTTCCAAATGGTTAAAATGATAGACTCTATGTTATGTATATTTTACTTTAATAGAAATAAAAACAAAAGAGATACTCTATGCTAGCGTTAATGACAAGAAAGCTGGAGTAGCTACATTAATTTCAGACAAAGAAAACTTCAGAGAAAGGAAAATTGTCAAGGATAAGGAGGAGTACTACATGATAATAAAAGAGTCAGTTCTCCAAGAAGACATAATAATTCTTAATGTGTATGTGCGTAACAACAGAGTGCCAAAATATGTGAGCCAAAAACTAATAAAACTGCAAGGAGAAATAGATTAACCCACTATTGCCGTTGAATACTTCAATTGGCCTCTAACAGTAGATAGAAGAAATAAATAGTAATTGATAGATCTAGCAGGCAGAAAATCAGTAAAGACGTAGTTGAACTGAACAACACCATCAATCGATTGGATCAAATGACGTCTATAGACTATTTCATCTTCATCCAACAACAGCAGAATACACATTCTTCTCAAGCACACACAGAGCATTTACCAAAACAGACTACATTATGGGCCATAAAACACACCTTAACAAATTTAAAACAATAAAAGTTATATAATGTCTGTTCTCAGATCACAGTGGAATTAAACTAGAAATCAGTAATAGAAAGATAGCTGGAAAATCCCCAAATAGTTAGAGATTAAACAACACATTTCTAAGTAACACATGAATCAAGGAAGTAATCTCAAGAGAAACTAATGTATTTTGATTAAATAAAAATGAAAATACAACTTATTATAATTTGTGAGATGCTGTGAAAGTAGTACTTAGAAATTATCATCTTAATATATTAGAAAAAAAAGAAAGGTCAAAAATCAATCTATGGTTCTACTTTAGGAAACTAGTAAAAGAAAAAATAAAGACAAAGTTAAGCAGAAGAAAATAATAAAAGAGAAACTGAAATTTAAAACAGGAAATTAATGGAGAAAATCAAAGAAACCAAAAGTTGGTTCTTGAGCAATATAAATCTCTGGTGAGGTTAACCAAGAAAAAAAAAAAAAGAAACAGGACACAAGTTAGTAATATCAGAAATAAAAGCGGTAGCATCCCTGCAGATCCCACAGTTATTAAAAGGATCATACAGAAATACTATGAACAGCTCTATGCTCACAATAGATAAAATGCACCAATTCCTTGAAAGACACAATCTGCCAAAACTCACAAAGAGACCGAGATAACCTGAATAGGACTACAAGTATTAAAGAAATTGAAACAAACATTAATAACCTTCCAAAACAGAAAGTACTGGGCCCGCATGACTTTACTGGTAAATGCTATCCAACATTTAAGAAAGAAATTATGCGAATTATCTGCAATCTCTTCCAGAAGATAAAAGCTGAGAGACTACTTCCTAACTCACTCAATGAAGCCAGCATTACCCTAATAACAAACCAATATCTCTCATAAATATAGACAGAAAAATCTTCAACAAAATATTAGCAAACAATTAAAAAATGTATAAAAAGAACTATATACTATGACCAAGTGGGATTTATCACAGGTATGCAAGTATGATCGACATTTGAAAACTGATTATTCCATCATATGAGCTAAAGGGGAAAACTTATATGATTATATCAATAGATCCAGAAGAAGCATTTCACAAAATCCTACACCCATTCCTGATTTAAAAATGGAAAATAGACTCTCAGCAAACTAGGAATAGAGAGGAGTCTCCTCAATTTGATAAAGAACATCTGCAAAATCCTGCATCTAGCATCACGCTTAAATGGTGAGAAACTTGAAGCTTTCCCACTAAAATCAAGAATAGGACAAGGATGTCTCCTCTCACCACTCTTTTACATCATGATCCTGGAAGTCCTAGCCAATGCAATGTGACAAGAAAAGGAAATAAAAGATACACAGATTGAGAAGGAAGATGTAAAATCGCCTTTGCTTATAGATTCCATGATTATCTATGTAGAGAATCTAAAAAAAATTGACAAAAAAGCTCCTGGAACTAATATGCTATCATAGTGAGTCAGTAACAGATTCTTTAGGCTACTGCTGGTTCCAGAACTCAATTGTTGACTTGCCACTGCTCAGACACTTCCTTTATGGTTGACATTTAAAAATTAGGTAAAAAATATGACAAGTTAGCCAGGTGTGGTGGTGGTGCGCACCTGTGGTCCTGACTACTCAGGAGGCTGAGGTGGGAGGATTACTTGGGCCAGAATGTTGAGGCTGCAGTGAGCCATCATTGTGCCACTGCTCTCCAACCTGGGTGTCTCAGTCTCAAAAAAATAAATAGATAAAAATTTAAAAATAAAAAATAAATATGACAGGATCTGTGTTTAGTTATCTTAGTTTAGAAGTGAGCTTTGATGATAAATTTCACATCTACATCATATGATGTAATGAAAATAACTTCCCCCAACCATACCACTGCCAGTACTAGAGTCATCTTTATATGTTAAGCACTGACTCTATACCCAGCACTCTGTAAGACACTGTATCATCTCCTTTAATCGTTAATGAAACTTTGAGGCAGTTAATCTTACATGAGTTCACTGATGTTTATAAGATATTGGCAAGGGGTTAATAGCATCTATCTTTCAGGTTCAGTGTAAGGAAGACAAGGGAAAATGCATTTGAGAGTACATGCAACCATAATTCTCTATACAAAACAGAAGATGACTTTATTGCTGACAATTTATTTAAAGAAAAGACACAATCAAATTTGAGGTCAGATACTAATATTTGTCTGACTGTCCAATTATGTCCTGCATCAAGACAGTTGTCGGTCACTTAGAGCCTAAACAGTTAAACAGAATTTTTCTCTGAAATAGGTGTGTGATGTGAGCAGATACAGTTTCTTACACAGAATCATGGGCTGCTATCAAAGGAGGCTTTGATAACCTACAGCTCAATGTGGTGTGATCAGAAATATGTTGTTAGAGGGTTATGGATGACAAGGGGCTAGCAGCAAAGGAGAGAAAGCAACAGAAAGGGGTTTGCAGAGGCTGGCTTAGCTGAGGGGAAAGGAGGAAGTTGGGAGAGGGAACACAAGCTGCTCAGACATGATATTAAAGAGGTGTCACAGCCTCAATTCTGATTCCAGAAGTCCTCCTTCCACATGACCTCAAAGGATCCAGATCTCAGGGTCTAGCGGGCTGTGGTCCAAGGCTCCCACCAGGATCATGGTTGGGTCCCCGCACCTCAGCCCTAGAGGAGTGTGTCTGAATTCCAACACCAACCCCAAGGTTAGCTCTGCTAGGCCGATTGCTCCTGCTCCTGCTCCTGCTCTTGCTATGGGCTCATCAGAGGATTTGAGAATCCAGGGTGTGGGAACCAAGGGAGCAGGATGGCCCTGACCATAGCACTGCAGCTGGTGAGGGGCAGAGCTGCACCCTAAACCCAGCCCTCCTGACCGCCTTTTTGAGTCTGTTTTCTGTCTTTTGCTCTGATCTTCTTTTTAGACTTCAACCATCTTCCTCTTAAGCAAGAACTTCCCTTGCAAAAAGATTAACAATATTATTTATGCAACTCTAGAATGAATAAATATATCCACATACATAATGGGAGTAGCTACTCCCTCCATATCAAAGACTGCCAGCACTACAAGCAACACCTCCATTTGTCAAGCACCAACTGTGTACCTGGCACTGTTCCAGGCAATATGCAGATATCCACTACTTTGAGGTAGTTATTCTTACATGAACACGTTGGTGTTTAGAGAGCAGACACAGCCATATATAGGGATCATTCAACAATTCTCATAAACTTACATTTTGTAGTTTGTTTACTGATGGTGACATCTGTTTATTAGTTCTACCCTCTGCAACATGAAGTATGGGAAGAACATAGGTTTTGGAGCCTGCCAAAACCTTGCTGTGTTAATTTGGGCAAATTCCTCAACCTCTCTGAGCCTCAGTTTCCATCACGGATCTAATACTTTCTGCCTCGCAAGATCGTCATATGTGTAAGGAACCTAACACAGCTCCTTCCATGTAATCAGTACTCAATAAACCACAGCTACCATTATATTGTCACTTCTGTTAATATTATTTACCTGCCTCGTTTCTAGAAAATGAGTAAAGCTTAAATTGAGTTCATTCAAAAGCATTCGTAATAATAATAACATTAGCAACATTTTTTGAATATTTTCTATATCTGGAGCACTGTTTATAAATGATTATATTATCTCATTTAATCCTCACAGCAACCTTTACTACCTACTTCACGGTATCATTATGAGAATTGATGAGTAAACACAGTCATGAACCTCACAACACTGCTTCATTCAACACCACGCCATATCTATGATGGTGGCCCCATGAGATTATAATGGAGTTGAAAAATTCCTATTGCCTAGTGATGTCATACCCATCATAAAATAGCAAAATTACTTAAAAAATAAATTTAGTGTAGCCTAAGTATAGAGCATTTCTAAAGTCTACAATAGTGTACAGTATGAACCCTGAATATCTGAGACAGGTCTCAGTTGATGTAGAAAGTTTATTTTGCCAAGGTTGAGGTGACACAGCCTCAGGAGGTCCTGACTACATGTGCCCAAGGTGGGCAGAGCACAGCTTGGTTTTATACATTTTTGGAGACATGAGACATAAATCAACGTAAGTAAGATGAACATTGGTTCCGTCCGGAAAGGTGGGACAACTCGAAGCAAAGGCGGGACAACTTGAAGATGGGAGGGAGCTTCCAGATCACAGGTAGGTAAGAGACAAATGGTTGCATTCTTTTTTTTTTTTTTCCATACTTTAACTTCTAGGGTACATGTGCACAATGTGCAGGTTTGTTACATATGTATACATGTGCCATGTTGGTGTGCCACACCCATTAACTTGTCATTTGCATTAGTTATATCTCGTAATGCTATCCCTCCCCCCTCTCCCCACCCCACAACAGGCCCCGGTGTGTGATGTTCCCCTTCCTATGTCCAAGTGTTCTCATTGTTCAATTCCCACCTGTGAGTGACGACATGCGGTGTTTGTTTTTCTGTCCTTGCAACAGTTTGCTCAGAATGATGGTTTCCAGCTTCATCCATGTCCCTACAAAGGACATGAACTCATCCTTTTTTATAGCTGCATAGTATTCCATGGTGTATATGTGCCACATTTTCTTAATCCAGTCTATCATTGATGGACATTTGGGTTCACTTCAAACTATACTACAAGGTTACAGTAACCAAAACAGCATGTTACTGGTACCAAAACAGAGATATAGACCAATGGTTGCATTCTTTTGAGTTTCTGATTAGCCTCTCCAAAGGAGGCAATCAGATATGCACTTATCTCAGTGAGCAGAGGGATGACTTTGAATAGAATGGGAGGCAGGTTTGCCCTAAGTAGTTCCCAGCTTGACATTTCCCTTTAGCTTAGTGATGTGGGGGCCCCAAGATTTATTTTTCTTTCACAGCAGTAATGTCTTAGGGCTTCACAGTCACTCACCACTCAGTCACTGACTGACCCAGAGCAAAGTCCAGTCCCGCAAGCTCCATTCATGGTAAGTGACCCAGAGAGGTATACTTTAAAAAATATTCCAAGTCTGGGTGCAGTGGCTCACCCACCCAGACCTGATCATGAGGTCAGGAGTTCGAGACCAGCCTGACCAACGTGGTGAAACCCCGTCTCTACTAAAAATACAAAAATTAGCCAAGTGTGGTGGTGGGCGCCTGTAGTTCCAACTACTCAGGAGGCTGAGGCAGGAGAATTGCTTGAACCGGGAAGCAGAGGTTGCAGTGTGCTGAGATCTCGCCACTGCACTCCAGCCTTGGAGACAGACCGAGACTCTTAGGAAAAAAAAAAAAAATCCTCTATACCATATTATCACCACACGTTTTCTATGCTGAGATATGTTTAGATACACGAATACTTATCATTGTGTTACAGTTGCTACAGAATTGAGTACAGTCACATGCTGTGCAGGTTGTAGCTTTGGAGCAATAGTCTGTGCTATCTAGCCCAGGTGTGTCGTAGGCCGCACCATCTAGGTTTGTGTAAGCACATGCTATGATGTTCACACAACCACGAAATTGCCTACTGATGGATTTCTCAGAATATATCCCCCTTGTTAAGTGACATACTTTTAAGTACTTAGAATCATTTCTGGCATACAATAAGTGCTATATGTTTCTTAAAGCGAAAAAAGGTCAATACTCATATTTCCTCCATTTACTTAATCACAGAGATTACGTTTACTTAATCACAGAGATTAGGGAACTCAGCCAAGTCCCACAGCTAGAAAGTAGTGAGGTTGGGACCCAACCCCGGCAGGCTGACTCCTGCAGCCCCTACACTTAAGTGTCATAGCGAACTGTACTGGTATTTTCCATGGATGCACCCCGTGATGGAAATGAGGGGTGTGACTCACTGTTGCGTTGTTCTGCATGTTACCTCTTTCCCTCCTTTCCTCTGATAATAATTTCTTTCAATCCCCTAACATCCAGTTCTCTCTCTCCCTTCATTTGCTTGGGTGGTCCTTTGTTTCTACAGAGAGCAATCCAACGACACAGGGCCCTTTCCTCTTCCTGGTCACGCAGTGGCCTTGAAAAATGGCCATTCTCTCTCAAGAGGCTTGCCGTTCAAAACAACCTCATTTCCCTTCACACTGTATGGTGTAGGTCAAGCTTTTTATTAAAAATGTTCCTGCCTTTCTCCTTCCCTCTGTGAGAGTCCCAGATTGTTCCTCATTCCCCCTTTGCCCAAATCTGGATATCATTCCCCCAGAGTCTCAGGAAACACGTTCCAGAAAATGTGTATTTGCATTTCATGATTATGCAGGAGAAGTGTGGGGACATATGTTACCTTTCAGCAGCTTGTATCCAAAGAGCCAGGCCTCACGACAGAACGTAGGCTCAAAATTAGCGCAATCGTTTACCTTGTCTTCTGAGTGATCTGTGTTCCGTGTCTTTGCACAGAAAGCTCTGTTCGTGTTCTGAGTCTGTTATTTTGATCTATACGATAAGAAAATCACTATCATTTGAATCCACAGCTTGAGAGGGCTGCTTTGCTTTTCATGTACGATAAGTTCTTAAACACAAGTGAGATGGAAAACATATTGTGCAACTCTCGGGAACTATTTAAAATGTAAAATATAAATATTTCTCCTTTGAATGTACTTAACTTAGCGAGCCCGTATCTGGTTTGTGTCCTTTCAGTCATCACACTGACATTGTGTTTGCTATTCCTTCATTTAGCTGAGTCAAAATGAGCTGGAGAAGCGAAAATCAGCACTTCAGCCTGCTCTGCGGAGCAGAGCGCAGGAAGGTTGCCAAGCCTCCCTTGATCGCATAATGCCTCTCAGATAAGGTTAACGCTGCAGTAGGCCCTGCCTCGTGTTAGTATTTTATGGTGACAGCTCGAGTCTCCCATTGCAATGAATCTATTGTGAGGAAAAGCAAACAGAAAAGTCAACCCGCTGAGGGTAGCGGGGCCCATACTTGGCCTTTCTCAGGCTAAACCTGGGCCCATGGCTGCCATTGTCTGGTCAGGGCTGACTCAAAACCACCCAATTCTTTTCCACTCCTGACTGGAGGGATTTAAGAATTTCTGGGCCAGGCGCAGTGGCTCACGCCTGTAATCCCAGCACTTTGGGAGGCTGAGGCGGGCAGATCAGGAGGTCAGCAGTTCAAGACCAGCTTGGCCAATATGGTGAAACCCCGTCTCAACTAAAAATACAAAAATTTGCCAGGCACGGTGGTGCGTGCCTGTAGTCCCAGCTACTCAGGAGGCTGAGGCAGAAGAATTGCTTGAACCTGGGAAGGCAGAGGTTGCAGTGAGCTGAGATCATGCCACTGCGCTCCAGCCTGGGAGACAGAGCGAGACTCCGTCTCAAAAAAAAAAAAAGCAAAAAGAATTTCTGACTGTAAGAGTAGTGGGGAGGAGGGATAAAGAGGGGTTGGATAATAGGTACAAAAATATAGTTAGATAGAATAAAATACAGTGTTCAAAAGCTCAATAAAAATTTTGGTTTATTTCAAAATAACAAGTACATTTTGAATATTCCTAACACAAAGTAATGATAAATGCTTGAGCTGATGGATAACCCAATGACTTAAAATTGATTATTACACATTGTATGCTTGTATCAAAATGTCATAAGCATCCCATAAATATGTATAACTATGTATCCATAAACATTAAAAATTGAAATTTTAAAAATTTAAAAACTAAGGCCCTCTGAATGTAGAAAAACAAAGAAAGAGGTAGCGTCTTCGCTCCAGCATCCTCCCACTCCGCCAGGTTGAACTGCCGCTGTTTAAATAAGACTAAAATCCCATTCTTCTCTCACATCTCTTCATTTGCAGACATCTAGCATGGGCCCCTTCCTTCTGCCCTATAATTTAGGACTCTTCAACACGTAAAGTTGAAGGAACAGGGGGAGTGGGGCTGTCCGATTCCATTCTGTGAATGGAACAATAGATAGCCATGCTTGTGGCCGGGCACGGTGGCTCATGCCTGTAATCCCAGCACTTGGGGAAGCCGAGGCAGGTGGATCACCTGAGGTCAGGAGTGTGAGATCAGCCTGACTAACATGGTGAAACCTCGCCTCTACAAAAAATACAAAAATTAGCTGGGCGTGGAGGCTGGCGCCTGTAATCCCAAGTACTCGGAAGGCTGAGGCAGGGGAATCGCTTGAACCTGGGAGGCGGCGGTTGCAGTGAGCTGAGGTGGTGCCACTGCACTCTAGCCTGGGTGACTGAGTGAGACTCTGTCTCAAAAAAAAAAAAAAAAAAAAGATAGTGATGCTTGTGGGATCACTATCTCATGCTGCATTAGAGTGGATGTGGTTTTCTATATGTCCTTTTTTCAAGTCTTCTTTCGTTATGAGAAAAATAAAACAACAAAAGAAACTTTATGGGGTAAAGGTAAAAAATATCTTTGCTAAGACGGGATAGTTAATACTTGGGGGACAGCTCTGGTGAGAAGGTGGCTTCCAAGTTTCCCAACCATGGAACCCTTTGCTCAAGCAAAATCTCACAAAGTCCAACCATCACTGAGGTTTTTCTGGCTATAGGAGTGTGGTGGGAGTCCTGGAGCTCCTCTGATTGGCGCCTCTATTTTCTGTCTTATGGATTGTCTATTCTAGATAGTTCATATAAATGGATTTATGCGAAGTGTGTCCTTTTGTGTGTTGCATATTTTGCTTAGCATAAATGTTTTCAAGATTTATCCATATAATGGGATATTTGAGAACTTCATTCCCCTTTATTTGTGAATAATATTCCATTGTGTTGATGCCACTTTTTGTGTATCCATTTATGTGTTGGAAGACACCTGCGTCTCCCCACCATTTAGCTATGTGACAACGCTGCAATGAGTATCTGTGTGAGTTCCCGCTCGCCATTCTTTTTGGCATATGCCATACTTGGAAATGGAATTGGAATTGCTACATCACATAGAAACATCGTATTTAGATTTTTGAGGCACCACTAAACTGTTCCCCACAGCAGTTGCACTGTTTTAAATTCCCATCAACTATGTATGAGGGCTCCAATTTCTCAACATTCTTGACAACAGTCGTTATTTTCCATTTTCTGTTTGTTTCTTCCTACATTCATTCCAGTAGGTGTGAAATTATCTCATTGTTTGATTTGCATTTCCCTAATGACTAAGGATACTAAGCATCTTGTCATGTGCTTACCGTCCATTTGTATATCTTCTTTGTAGAAATATCTATTCAAATCCTTTAACTATTTTTTGAAAAGATAGACTTGATTTTTAGAACAGTTTTAAGTTCACAGCAAAATTTAGTGAAGAGTACAGAGATTTCCCATGTATTACCTGCCTCCATTCATAAATAGCCTCTCCTATTATCAATATTCCCTACCAGAGTGGTATATTTATCACAACGGATGAACCTGCATTGACTCTTCATTATCACCCAGCATCCATACTTTACATTAGGATTCTACACAGCATAACATTAGCATTGCATTATGACACTCCTAGTGTTATAGAATGTGTGGATTTGGACAAATGGCTAATGACATGTATCCACCATTGCAGTATTCTGCAAAGTACTTTCACTGCCCTAAAAATCCTCTGGGTTTCACCTGTTCATCCTTTCCTCCCCCTGACCTGTGGCGACCACTGATTTTTTTCTTGTATCCATAGTTGTCCCTTTTTCAGAATTTCCTACAGCTGAATACCATATTTAGCCATTTAAGGTTGACATCTTTTACTTAGTAATATACATTTAAGTTTTCTCTATGTCTTTTCATGGCTTGATAGCTCATTTCTTTTTAGCACCAAATAATATCGTATTGTTTGAGTGTACCACAGTTTATGCATTCACTCAGTGAAGGACACTTTGGTTGCTTCCATGTTTCGGTAATGATTAGTAAGGAGGCGATAAACACCTGTGTGCAGATTTTGGTGTGTACACGAGTTTTCAGCTCTTTTGGGTCAATATCAGGGAGCATGATTGCTGGATTGTATTGTAATGTTATGTTTAGTTTCGTAAGAAATCACCGAACTATCTTTCAATGTGGCTGTACCATTTTGCATTTCCACTAGCAGTTAGTGGGACTTCCTGTTGCCTCACATCCTCACCAGCATTTGGTGTTGTCAGTGTTGTGGATTTTGGCTATTTTAATAGGTATACAGTGATATCTCATTGTTGTTGTAATTTACATTTCCCTGACGATATATGATGTGGAGCATCTTTTCGTATGCTTATTTGCCATGTGTGCACAGGTCGAATGTTCCTTGTCTGAAATGTTTGGTACCTGAAGTGTTTCAGAGTTAGGACTTCTTTTTTTCAGATTTTGGAATATTTTCAGTATACCTACTGGTTTAGCATTTCTCATCTGAAAATTTGAAATCTGAAATGCTCCAACGAGCAATTCCTCTGAGCATCATATCAGCACTGAAAAAGTTTTAGATTTTGGAGCATTTCAGATTTTCAGATTGGTGATACTCAATCTATATCCTCCTTGGTGTGGTATTTGTTCAGATCTTTTGCTCCAATTTTTCATCAGGTTGTCCATTTTCTTATTGTTGAGGTTCAAGGATTCTTTGCATATTTTAGGTAACAGTCTTTTATCAAGTAAGTTTTTTGCAAACATATTCTCCCAGTCTGCAGCTTGTCTTTTCATTTTCCTGACAGTGTCTTTCAGAAAGCAGAAGTATTTAATGACATCTGTCTTACCAATTTTTTCTTTCATGGACAGTGCCCTTAATATTGCACTTAAAAGTCATCACCTAACCCAAGGCCATCTAGATTTTCTCCTATATTGTTTTCTAGAAGTGTTATGGTTTTACATTTTATAATTAGATCTACAATCCATTTTCAGTTAATTTTTGTGAAAGGTATAAAGTCTCTGTCTATATTCTTGTTTTGTTTTGTTCCATTTTGTTGCTTGTGGATGGCAAGTTGTTCCAGCACCACTTGTTGGAATGACTATCTTTGTCCTATGTTATTGTCTTTTCTCCTGTGTCAAAATCAGTTGACTATATTTATGTGGGTCTATTCCTGGGCCCTCTTTTATGTTCCATTGATCTATCTGTAACTTTATACCGGTTGCTTATCCCTAATCCAACATTCTCTAAAATCTAAAACTTTCTGAGTGCCAACATGATGCTCCAAGGAAATTCCCACTGGAGTATTTCAGATTTCAGAATTTTGGATTAGGGATACTGAACTGGTAAGTAGACTGCAAATATTCCAATATCAAAAAAAGTTTTTATATTAACCTTGTATCCTGCAAAATTACTGTAAGTGCTTATTAGTTCCAGGAGTTTTTTTTTTTTCTTTTGCTGATACTTTTGGATTTTCTGCATAGACAATTATGTCATCTGCAAAGACAGTTTTATGTTTCCTAATTGATGTAACTTTTCTTTTCTTTTTTTTTCTTGTTTTATTGCATTAGCTAGGACTTCCAGTATGATACTGAAAAGGGGCGGTGAGAGAGGACATCCTTGCCTTGTTCCTGATGTTAGCACGAAAGCTTTGAGTTTCTTACCATTAAATATGATGTGAGCAATAGGTTTTGTGGATATTCTTTATCAAACTGGGAAAAATCCTCCTCTATTCCTCATTTACTGAGAGTTTTTTTTGTTTTTTAATCATGAATGGGTGTTGGATTCTTTCAAATGCCTTTTCTCCACCTGTTCATATGCTCATGTGTTTTTTTTTTCTTTATCCAATGGATGTGATGGCTTACATTAATTGGTTTTCAAATTTTGAACCAGCCTTGCCTACCTGGGATAAATTATACTTGGTTGTTGTGGTGTATAATTTCTTTCATACGTTGTTGAATTTGATTTGCTAGTATTTTGTTGAGAATTTTTACGTCTATATTCAAAAGAGATATTGATCTATGGTTTTCTTTTCTTATAATGTCTTTGTCTGGTTTTGTTCTTAAGGTAATGCTAGTCTCATTGAATGACATAGGAAGCATTTCCTCTGCTTCTTTCTTCTGAAAGATATTGTAGAGAATTGGTATAATGTTTTCATTAAAGGTGTGGTAGAATTCACTGGTGAACTCATCTGGGCCTGGTGCTTTTGTGTTCGGTAGATTATTAATTATTGATTCAATTTCTTTAACATACCTAGAGCTCTTTAGATTAATTATTCTTTGTGTGTGCAAGTTTTGGCAGATTGTGTCTTTCAGGGAAATGACCTATTCCATCTAGGTTATACAATTTGTGGACATAAAATTGTTTATAATAGTTCTGTATTATACATTTAATGTTCATGGGATTTATGGTGATGTCCTCTCTTTTGTTTCTGATATTAGTAATTTGGATCTTCTTTTTTTCTTTGCTAGCCTAAGAAAAAAGTTAGCCTAGAGTCTTATTGATTTTATCAAAGAATTAGTTTTTGGTTTCATTGATTTTTCTATTAATTTCCTGTTTTCAACGTCACTGATTTCTGCTCTAATTATTTATTATTTCTGTTTTTCAAATTATTTTGGATTTAATTTGCTCTTCTAGTTTTCTAAAATGAAAGTTTAGATTATTGGTTTTAGACTGTTCTTCTCTTCTATCATATGCATTCAATGCTATAAATTTCCCTCTAAGTACTTTTCTCTCTTGATAAGTTGGGTTTTGACTTTCATTTAGTTCAAAACATTTTAAAATTTCTTTTGCAATTTCTTCTGTAACTCATGTGTTATTTAGAAGTGTGTTGTTTAATCTCTATTTTGAGGATTTTGAGGCTTTCCAGTTATCTTCCTGTTCTGGAGTTCTAGTATAATTCTATTATGGTCTGAAAGCAGACATTTTATGATTTCTTTTAAATTTGTTAATATATATTTTTATGGCCTAAAATATGGTCAAACCCAGTAAATATTTCAAGTGAGCTTGAGGAAAAAGTGTATTCGGCTGTTGTACATCTACAGGTGTCAATTATAGTCACTTGATTGATAGTGTATTGAGTTCCACTGCGTCCTTACTGATTGCCTGCTGGGCCTGTTCCTGGTAGAAAGCTGTTGAAGTCTCCAACAGTCATAGCAGATGCATCTATTTTTCCTTGCAGTTTACTTGGCTAGAAGTTTGTCAGTTTTGTTGTAACAGAAACTGCTGTACGTAGACCGTTAGTATTGTGGTGGTGAGGCAAAGTGGGAAGAGGATGATTTTATAGTTTTTTGATTAGGACTTTTAGTGAGCTGATGCCTCTGATTGTGAACTTCACAAGTGTTTCTCAGTATTTTTCTTCCTTCTTAGGTGAGGCTGGATGGCTTGCGTGGGCTGGATTTTGGTATTTTTCCTCTCCCAGGTGGAAGGTCTGAGCGGCTGATGGCTGGCGTTTGGTAGTTCTCTTCCCCCAAGGTCCGTTAGGCTCTGATAAAGCCCCAGCAGCCTGGGCTCTGATTAACTAACTGGATTTTCCTGAGGGCAGACCTTGTTAAGAAGAACGCAGTGTTCTGGTTCCTTTTCTCTTCCACCCCCAGAAGTGGGAAGAGATTCTTCTCCGTTTACTCTAAGAACCTGGTGAAACTCCTGGAGGTAAAACTCACAAAGGGATGGAGACCTCTATGTCTGGGTCCCCTGGAGCTTTTAATGTTCAGGCTTGTTCATACTGAGTCACCAGGAATTTATCAATTACAATTAGGTGGGACACTCACTGGTTTCTGCTCTGGTAAGTTGCAATTCTCTGCGTTGGCCTATCTGTCTCTCCAACTTCTGGGGCAGTGCTGTGCTTGTGAAGCCTCGCTTCTTTTATGGATCCAGGAAGAGTTGTTGATTTTTCAGTTTTTCAGCCTTTTACTTGTTATTAGGACACAGTGGCAACTTCCAAGCAGTACAGGAAACTGGAAATCCCTCTGCCTATTTTTTTGATTGCATTGTTTGTGTTTTTGTGGTTGGGAGTCGGGAGTTCTTCATATATTCTGGTTCGATGATCAGATACGTCCCTTATGATTTGCAAATATTGTCTCCCATTCTGTAGGTTATCATTTCACCTTCTTGATAATATTCTCTGATGCATACAATTTTTAACTTCGGTGAAATTCAATCTATCTGTTTTATCTTTAGTTGGTTATGTTTTTGGTGTGTAAGAATCTGTTTACCAAATCTAAGGTCATGAACATTTACTCTCTTACTTTTGTGAACTGTCTTTTTTTTTTTTAACTTATCTCTCAGGCACTTCCCATATATAATCTTACATAATCCTTGCAACAAATCCAAATGATATTATTTTCCCTTTTTGATAAGGATATCTAACCTTATCATAATTTGCTCAAGACTCTACTACTAGTAAAATGGTAGGGCAGGGATTTAAACTAGTGTTTTCAAATTCCTGACATGTACTAATTTGGAGGATTCGGGAATGAGATATCATAATTTACAATATTTCTCAGGAATTCCGCAATCATAAGTTATTTTAAAATAATTTCAACATTTTCATACACTTTACTCATGATTATGTCTATCTTTGGAAGGCATGTTTGACAAATGAGAAGTATTTAGTAGCGTTTATGAAGTACAGTGAATGTTCAAATACTAGAAAATGGTAGGAAATGGTATCGAGTGGTATTCAAATAATGTAACATTTGGATTTCCTAGCAAGCTTAACAGAACTACAAAGAATCCCATGTAGAAATGTGCCAATGTAAGGATTTATGTGCTTCTAAAACTTCGTATTTCTTAGAACAGCATTCGTAGAATTTAAATGGAGCATGATATGGGTATAAGCTTATTAATATTTATTTCCTGTGCCAATGTGACTCATTGTCAGCATCACACAAGGCCAGAAACATACACGCACAACACAGCAACAGCCACAAGCCAAACTGATTCCATTGTGAACGCATGTCTCCTATATTGATTGATAAGCTTCAGTTCATGCTAGAGAATTATAATACTTTCCCCAAGTTTTCAACTGATTTTCCGGATTTGGAGAAATCTAAATTTTCTGAGAAATGCCAAGGAAGAATTCTTGCATAGAAATAGTAATTAGAACCAGGTCTGGGTTTTTTCCCCCTTCTAAAACTAATGTTCTTTCCACGACTATATCTGGCAGGCTCCCAAGAGCTGCTAAGAAAGAGGAAAGGAAAAGACCATTGGGTTTTATGGCTAGGAGGTCTTTGGTGTAACATCTTGAGAGCGATTATTGTGTATATTAGTTTCCTATTGCTGCTGTAATAAATTACTATAAATTTATTGGCTTAAATCCATGCAAGTTTATTCTCTTACAGTTCTGGAGGTCAGAATTCCAAAGTAAGTTTCACTAGCTAAAGTTAAGATGTTGGCAGGGCTGGTTCCTTCTTGAGGCTCCGCTGGAGAGTATGTGGAGTTTTTTTGCCTTTTCCATCTTAAAGAGGCTATCTTTATTTATTGGCTTGTGGTTCAGTCTTAGCCTATTTGTAGTCTCTTTGTGGTGCCATAACGTAACAATTATCACAGATTGGGTAATTTATAAAGAAGAGAAACTTAGTTCTCGTAGTTCTGGAGGCTGGAAGTTCAAGATCAAGGCACAAGCAAGTTCAGTGTCTGATGAGGGCTCAGTCTTGGCTTCCACAGCGTTGTCTTATTGCAGCATCCTCCGGAGGAAAGGAACACTGCGTCTTCCTATGCAGAAGAAATAGCGGTGAAAAGGGACAAACTCCCTCTAACAAGCCTTTTCATAAGAGTACCTGATCCCATTCATGGAATTGAATCCCTCATGACTCAATAACCTCCTAAAGGCCACACCTCTTAATAATCTTGCACTGGGGATTAAGTTTCAATGTGAGTTTGGGAGAGGACACCATCTTTAAAACCATAGTGATATGGACAGGAGGCAGCAAAATACTGAGTAGAAGAGAGAGGTTCCCTGGCAAGGGCCCCACCCTCAAGCCTGGAGACCCACAGCACTAAATGAGAACAGGCATTCGGTTTTTATGCCCAAAAACTGGCCTTTTGGCCTGCCATTCCCCCTATCCTGCCTCCATATCAGCCCCAAATCCCAAGCACCAGGAGAGATCAGCAGACCAGTGGTGGTGGAACGATGCAGCAGAGAAAGAAGAGGAGGGATGCCTGGACACCAAGGGAAGTCTGGCCAGGGGTGGTCAGAGAAGAGTCCAGCAGCTCGGTGGCCTGACTCCAGGGAAGGACCACCTTCCCACTCCATTCCCCTTCCAGCTCCCTATCCATCTCACTGAGAGCCACCTCCTCCTCATAATAAAACCTTGCACTAATCCTTTGAGCCCTGTGTGATCCGATTCTTTCGGGACACTGGGCAAGAGCTCGGGATACAAAAGGCTGTCACACTGGCCTTCTGCCCTTGCAATAAGGCAGAGGGTCCATTGAGATTAACACACAAGCCATCTGTAGATGGCAAAGCTGAAAGAGCATGGTAGCACCGGAGTTACAGGCACCCACCCCTAAACACTACCGCAGGGCTGATAGCCCAAAGCACTCATCCCAGCCTCTGCACCTCCCTGTCTGTATGCACCCCTAGGGGTTTGAGCTGTGGGGCAACCAAACAGGCGAGCCGTACCCCTGTTAGACATCCTGTGAGGGGAATCAGGGGACTCTCCTGTTTCAGTAGCAGGCCCCTTCCTCTACCTTCAAAGCATGTCAGTCCAGTCACTGCTTCTGTCGCCACACTGCCATCTCCTCTCACTTGGTGACTCCGTCATTTCTCTTGAAGGACAACTGTGATTACGTGAGGTCCATCAGATAATCTGGGAGAGTCTCCTCATCTAAGGATCTTTAAGCACATCTTCAAAGTCTCTTCTGCCATACAAGGAAACATTCACAGGTTCCCAGGATTAGGACAAGGTTATATTTCTGAGGCCATTGTTCAGCCAACCATGACTCTGGGGAATTTGGCTACTTATTATTTAAGAATAAAAGACATATGGGATGGGTAGAACCTGGCAATCAGTGAGCCAGCTATAGCAGGGTCCTGAAAAATGTGCCCCACTGCCACTAAGACCACATCCCACTACACAAAATCCAGGGTCCAGTAGAACTCAGCAGGCTCCTATCCTGATCAAAACCAAAGGCTGGTGATGGCTGTACACTGAAATTACAAGTGGCTCAAAGTTGAAGGAAAGGAGATAAGGATCCAGGTGGCCAGTGCTCTGAAACTCCAGTGAGCAGCCACCGTGGGAGTCTATAGATAGGGCCTGAGCTCCTGCTTAAGCTCTCATTTCAAAGCAGTTCCAGGATCTCTGAAGGAGGACAGAGAGGAGCCACATGTGGCTTCAAGGCTTGCAGGATAACTGGAGGAACCAGCTGGCTCCTGCACTAGAAATTCAGATTGTGGAAAAGAAAAAATGGAAAGGCATAGTTCTTATGACCTGAGGATCTTGGTAGAAAGCTGGCTTTGGAAATCATGCTATCCAGCTGGGCATGATGGCTCATGCCTGTAATCCCAGCACTTTGGGAGGTCGAGGCAGGTGGATCACAAGGTCAGGAGATCGAGACCATCTGGCCAACATGGTGAAACCCTGTCTCTCCCAAAAAAAAAAAAAAAAAAAAAAAAAACAAAAAATTAGCCAGGCGTGGTGGCATGCGCCTGTAATCTCAGCTCCTCAAGAGGCTGAGGCAGGAGAATTGCTTGAATCCAGGAGGCAGAGGTTGCAGTGAGCCGAGATCATGCCATTACGCTCCAGCTTGGGCAACAAGAGCAAAACTGCGTCTCAAAAAAAAAAAAAAAATTCATGGTATCGAAATTCAGCATGGTAAATTATGGGTGCAGTGGGTGAGCTATGACTCAAGAACAACATGAGATTTCCCGTTGATTGGAATTAGGAATAGTTTCAGCAAATCAAATCTAAAGAAAGGCAGACTTTGTTTTTCTTGAAGTTATTGAGTTTTATAACTATTGAGTTTTGTAACTGTCTGTACATGCACATGTGTGGGCATGTGTGAATTTTAAAAAGAGTACATTTGACTTATCTGATGTCAGAATCATGCACCAATATTGCCTATGGCTTCCTGCTGCCAGGTGCAATGTTGCAATAATTAAAGTAAAATTCTTCTCCATATAAACCCATGTGAAGGGTTCCTTGAATGTATTCCTGGAATGGAATTCCTGGGTCATAAAGTATGCTCAAGTACCAGATCATCTCCAGATTGATGGCCTCTGACTACATTTTCCTAGCAGAGCATAAGGATTGAGGTATTCTCACATCCCTGTAAACATTTGTCATTTTACAGCTTACTAGCTTTTGCCAATCATTTTACTAAGTGATAGCTCTTTGTCACTTTAATTTGTATTGTTCTGATTACTAATGAGTTTCACCATCATTTCACATGCCTTACTGCCACGTGGCATTCCAATGCTATAAATCTCTTTGTATCTCTTGCTCACTTTTCTGTTGGACTTATCTTGTTCTTGGTTGATATCAAATGCCTCTTGTATTTTCTACATATTAATCCTTTGTCAGTTCCGGGTATTGCAAATGACTTTCTCCATTCCTCCAATCTCTTTTTTCCATGATGTCTTTCAATAAACAGAAATTCTTAATTTTAATATAAACAAACTCATGAAGTTTTAGCCTTGTTGTTTGTGCTTTTGAGATTTTGTGAAAAAATTTCCCCTATCACAAGTCACAAAAATATTTCTTTATATTTTCTAATAACTTTAGACCTTTAATCTATTTTGGGTTCACTCATCTGGTGCTAGACAGTGATTTAGCATTATTTTTTTTTCTGGTAGTGGTCTAGTTTTCCTAATACTAGCTATTAAATAATTTATTCTTTCCCTAATGATTTGTGGTGACGTTTTATGACATATTAAGTCCCCCTAGATATGTGGGTCTGCCTGTGATCTCTCTCTTTTCTGTTCTGTTGGTCTACTTTGCTTCCAGAATCATACTTTAAAAAATTACTGTGACTCTGGTAAACCTTAATGATTGATATGATGTGTTCCCTTTATAGATTTTTTTTCATTTATTTATGTATTTATTTACTTTTAGAGACAGAGTCTTGCTATTTTTCCCACCTGATCCTAAACTACTGAGCTCAAGCAATCCTCCCATCTAAGCTTCCTGAGCAGCTGGGATTACAGGTATACACCACCATGCCCAGCCTTAGATTTTCTTTAAAGAATGACTTAGATTTTGAGGACCTGCCCTCTTTTTTCTTTCTCTTTTTAAAGTTAAAATATATCATAGTTTTTAGAGGTTGTATTAGTGTAGCACACATGCAGAAAAGCACACAGATCATGACCATAGGCTGGGTGCGGTGGCTCACACCTGTAATCCCAGCACTTTGGGGGACTGAGGGAGGTGGATCACGAGGTCAGGAGTTCGAGACCAGCCTGGCCAATATGGTGAAACCCTGTCTCTACTAAAAATTACAAAAATTAGCCGGGCATGGTGGCGGGCACCTGTAATCCCAGCTACTTGGGAGGCTGAGGCAGGAGAATAGCTGGAACCCGGTAGGCAGAGGTTGCAGTGAGCTGAGATTGTGCCACTGCACTCCAGCCTGGGCAACAGAGTGAGACTCTATCTCAGAAAAAAAGAAAGAAAGAAAGAAAAAGACCGTACAGCTCAATGACTTGCCACAAGGTGAACACACCTGCATAACCAGCACTCACATCAAGAAACGAACCACAACCCAGAAGGCAAAGGAGCAGAGGAGGCCAAGGCAAAATAAACGGGCCATAGAATAATGCCTCTTTTAGCTAAAACAGGACTGTCTTTCAAAAGATGAGCTCTCACTGAAATATGTGCCTGATACTCCTGAATTTCCATAATGAGCACATCTAATCTTTCACTGTGCACATACTTGGGATGCAACTTACACTGTGCACATACTTGGGATGCATTGTAGCTTTTCTCTCTTTTTAAAAAATGGACTTAGTTTGTTAAGTCAGAGCTAATTTTAAATACATGTGGCCATTTTGCCTTTTGATATTGTAAGTGGATGGCTCCCGGGACAAGAAGGGCAGCAAGGCACTATCTGACCTTACTCTGAGATAACGCTCTCAAAACCTTGTCACTACTGATTCTCAAAAGCCTTGTCCTGGGGTCCAGGCGCTCCCTACAATAAGCAAAGCAGACAAACAGCTATGCCCCAGAAGTGCTGAGAAAGTCTCCAGCTCAAAATGTCCCTCCTGAATTTGTCAGATTTTCCTTCAATTTCTTTAGCTCTAGTGTTATTGACCTTGACTCTTTTTTTTTTTTTTTTTCCAGACAGGGTCTCGCTCTGTTGCACAGGCTGGAGTGCAATGGTGCTGTCGCAGCTCACTGCAGCCTCCACCTTCTGGGCTCAAGCAATCCTCACACCTCAGTGTCCTAAATAGCTAGGACCATAGGCATGCAGCACCATGCCCGGCTAGTTTTTTAAAATTTTGTGGTGACAAGGCCTCACTATGCTGCCCAGGCTGGTCTCAAACTCCTGGGCTCAAGCAACCCACCTGCCTTGGCCTCCCAAAGTGCTAGGATTATAGGCATGAGCCACCATGCCCAGCAACTTTAACACTTCTCACCCTTCACAAAGGCGAGTGCCCCTGGGTACCACTGAATGCACCATTTAAGCCACTGTATTTTAAAAATTCAGTGAGTTTTACATCTTTCCCTGCTGCAATGTTTTGATGGAGTATCACAGAAAGATGAATACCCTGAGGGAGAAAAGGAGGAGGCAGGGAAAAAGTGACATCTGTGAGAATTAGTACAGTTGAGTGGTTAAAACATCCATCACAGGCCGGGTGCGGTGGCTCGCGCCTGTAATCCCAGCACTTTGGGAGGCTGAGGTGGGCGGATCATGAGGTCAGGAGATTGAGACCATCCTGGCTAACATGGTGAAACCCCGTCTCTACTAAAAATACAAAAAATTAGCCGAGCGTAGTGGTGGGCGCCTGTAATCCCAGCTACTCGGGAGGCTGAGGCAGGAGAACGGCATGAACCCAGGAGGCGGAGCTTGCAGTGAGCTGAGATTGTGCCACTGCACTCCAGCCTGGGTGACAGAGTGAGACTCCGTCTCAAAAAAAAAAAAAAAAAAAAAAAAGATCCATCGCAGGAGACATAGGTTCAAATCCTAGCCTGGCTACTGTAACATCTGTGTGTTTTAGGGGTCATTGCATCTAACTCCATTAAGCGTTAGGTTCATTATTTATAGCATAGAAGAATGATAGTCCTAAGGTTGTAAGGCTCTGGAAAATGGGCATAATAATAGTAATAGTATGGTGAGAATTAAGTGAAATATTTGGGGTAGTCAGAAGAATGTCCCTCAAAGATGCCCATGTCCTAAACCCAAGCATCTATAAATATGTTGCCTTATATGTCAAAAGGGACTTTGCAGATTGATTACTATTAAGGACCTTGAGGAGATGGCAAAGGGGAACTAAGTTTACAGATGGAATTAAGGTTGCTAATCAGCTGATTTTAAACAAGATTATACTGGATTATCTGTGTGGACCCAGCGTAATCAGAAGTGTCCTTAAAAGTGGAAGACGGACGCAGAAGAGAGGCCAGTGTGATGTGAAGAACTGGACCTGCCGTTGGTGGCTTTGAAGATGAAGGAAGGGGCCATGAACCAAGGAATGGGGGTGACCTCTAGAAGCTGGAAAAGGAAAGAAAATATTCCCCTTAGAGATTCCAGAAACGAACACAGCCCTGCCGACACCTTGATTTTAGCTTCATGATAACTGTATCAAACTTCTGATCTACAGAACTATCAAATAAAATTGTGTTGTTTAAAGCCACTAACTTGATAGTAAATGATTACAGCAGCCATAGAAAACTAATGCAGTATTAAAAATCATAATGACATGCTGGGTACATAACAAGTCATCAGTAATCACATGTTAATTATGCAGGATAAATAGGAAAAATACTGAATACTTCTAAAGAAAATTTAATCTTTCACAGTTTTGCCCAGAGCTGACCCTGTGGAGGTCCTCAAAGACCTGCTCTTAAAACCACATAGAAACTCACAGAGCTGGATTTGGAAACTAAAATACTTCTTCTTAGTATTTATCATTTGGGATTGTCATGTCCAAGTTTACCCCTATTGTTGTTCTGCCTGAAAAGCACTTGAAAAATGTGTTATAAAATGTATGTATGTATGTATGTATGTATCCACTCTAGTTCATAGAAAATTAGGTCTATTCCTGGGCTATAGTAATTCCAAATGGATGTAACCCTATCTTATTCGTTGTCCTCATTCTAGTGCAGGCTCCCATTACCTCTCACAAGGATGATTTGAACAGCCTTCCAACCAGTATCATGAACATCGGTGGCTACTGCCTTCCAATCCATCTTCCACACTGTGTCCATGGTGACTTTTAGAAAGAAAAATCTGGTTATGTCACCCCCCAACATAAAGCCTTCAATGTTTTCCCATCACTTATAGGAGAAAGTCCCAAATTCTTCAGTGATTTTCAAAGGACTTTTCTGTTTGTTTCAAGCCCCTTTCTTTTCTAGCTCGAGATTTCACAGCCTGCCTACTTAAATTGGATGCTCTGAGCCACCAGGGTAACCCCATCATTCAAAACCATAAGTTGCACCCACCTGCCTCCTCACTTTTGCTCTGCAGTTTCCTCCTCCAGAATGTCTTTCTGTGACATCTTAGCAAGTCTGAGTCTTACCCAACATCGTCAAAAACCTTTACAGATCACCCCAGCTTGAAGCCGTCTCCCCTCTGAGTTCACAGAGCATGCCATACTGTTCATCTGCTACCTTCTAGAACAGTGATTTTCAAACAAACCTTAGCTTCTCTATAAACATGTAAGCCTTGGAGGGGAAAAAAGAGTGGGAGGTGGGAGGAAACAACAGCTTACATTTTGATGAGTCCCACACAGTAGCTAGAATAGTGCCTTTCCTTACAGTAGCCACCACCACCTGTGACTGTGTATATTTAAGTCGGTTGAAATTTATCGAATTAAAAATTCCTGAGTCACACCAGCCACATTTGAAATGCTCAGAAGCCACGTGTGGTTAATAGATGCCATACGGGATAGCATAGACACAGAGCATTTCTATCATCACAGAAAGTTCTACCGGTCAGTGCTGATCTAGAACACAGAAAATGATCAGTAATATCTGAGGAGTTAAAAAACAAGAAAGGGAGAGAGGAAGATTAGGAGGGATGGAAGATCACTCTGATTTTCAAAGGGTGTCAGGAAAAATTGTCCAAGACTTGGAAATGAGCAAAAGAGATTATTGAGTGTCGTTCCAGCAAAGGGTTGGCAAAACCCTCCAGGAATTCTCTGGTTCTATAGGGCTGTGCACCTTTGACTGACACTTTTTTTTTTCTTTTTCTTTTTTGTGATGGAGGCTCACTCTGTTGCCAGGCTGGACCACAGTGGCACCATCTCGGCTCGCTGCAACCTCCGCCTCCTGGGTTCAAACGATTCTCCTACGTCAGCCTCCTGAGTAGCTGGGACTACAGGCGAACTACAGGCACGCGCCACCATGGCCAGCTAATTTTTGTATTTTTAGTAGAGATGGGGTTTCACCATGTTGGCCAGGATGGTCTCGATCTTGTGATCTGCCCACCTCAGCCTCCCAAAGTGCTGGGATTATAGGCGTGAGCCACCATGCCCAGCTTGACTGACTTTTTATTATCTAGGCAATTTTCCAGCTCTGTAAAGGAGGAAGTTAACATGCAGAAAGCTGATAGAAATGCAAATAATTCTTGCCTGCAGTGATGCAAATAAACTTTGTTCTATTAGAGAAACCATTCATTTCATCTTGTTATAAAAGATAATCTCAAATATTACGTTTCATTGCCCCATAAGATATTAACACATTTTATATCTATTAGTAAATTTATTTCAGTATTCTTAGCTGACTAGATCTCTGTTCTTCAAAGTCTCTTTGAATATATCTTAGAATCTTACTAATTCTTTCATTGATTGAGTTGGATAAAATCTCAAACATCTTAATTTTTATATATGCATGAGATGTATGTTTTTAACATTTAAAAAATTATACCTTAGGTATTTTGGAGGCTGCAGTAAGATACCCAAGTGGGCCAGGTGTGGTGGCTCACACCTGTAATCCCAGCACTTTGAGAGGCCAAGGTGAGTGGATCACGAGGTCAGGAGTTGAAGACCAGCCTGGACAAGATGGTGAAACCCCGTCTCTACTAAAAATATAAAAATTAGCCTGGTGAGGTGGTGCACGCCTGTAATCCCAGGTACTCAGGAGGCTGAGGCAGAGAATTGCTTGAACCCAGGAGGCGGAGGTTGCAGCAGTGAGCTGAGATCGCGCTACTGCACTCTACCCTGAGTGACAGAGCAAGACTCCATCTCCAAAAAAAAAAAAAAATCTCACGTGGACTCACCTAGAAGCCTGATTAAAATGCCTTGCCTGAGTAGTACACTTCACGGGCTTTGCAAGCCCAGGTCTGCCTTTTCTTGGCTCCCAGATGGAATATTAAAAAGCAATAGAGTTTTAACTTTTCTGACTCTCTGATTCTTTAGGTTATTTTATCCTCTCTATTATTTTGGGGGTTTTGTGCATGTATTTGTTTTTGATTCTTGTTCATACTAAGCCACTAAGCCATTCAACATTATTTGCAAAAATGGGATTTAGTTTTATGGTCTGTTTTGGTGATCCTTGTCAGATGAATGATGGAGAAGAATGAGAGTCATGTTTTTAACTTTTTAAAAATTATACTTTAGGCCAGGTGCAGCGGCTCATGCCTGTAATCCCACTGCTTTGGGAGGCTAAGGCAGGAGGATTGCTTGAGGCCAGGCATTTGGGACCAGCCTGGGCAACAAAGCAAGGACCCTATCTTTACAAAAAAAACAAAACAAACAAACAAAAAAACATGAAAATTAGCCAGGTATGGTGGCGTATGCCTGTAGTACTAGCTACTCAGGAGGCTGAGATGGGAGAAACACTTGAGCCCAGGAGGTCAAGGCTGCAGTGAGCTGAGATCACACCACTGCACAGCAGCCTGGGTGACAGAGCAAGATCCTGTGTCTACCAAAAAAAAAAAAAATTACACTTTAGCAGGGCAAAGCGAGTGACAAATGAGAAGCTCCTTTGCCAAAAGTCCCTTTTAAGATACTGGTCCCCATACACCTAAGCAAAGAGAATTTAGAGGAGGCTTTGGAAAGAAGAAAATTGCCAAATCTATAATCAAAAGTTCTCCAAGACAGTGAAAATTGACAGGATAACAGACAAAAGTAATATAAAGGTGAAAATGTGCTTTGTAGTCCCCGAATATGTAAAAATAAAGGATATAATAAAGGCGGGGCAAGAAGCAGAGACTTTTTGAGTTTGTTTTCTGGGTTGAGATATTAAGAAGAAGAAAAAGTCTTTAAACAGCATCCCATGTGGTCAAGGTAGAAGTTTGTTACTTTTATATTATACTTTGAAATATTAAAAGAGGAAATAAAGAATGAGAAAGTCAGTACAGCCAGGACAAAATTTTTTTTATGAATATAAAAAATAAGAATAAAATTAATGATATCAAAGAAAAAATACCTTTACCCTCTTGGGTTCAGTACCTGGTAGCCTGCAAATTATAGTAACAAAAGATTGATTAACAGGAGAAAAACACAATTTGTATGAATATCTATTGGTGTTCACAGAAAGGAAGTAAAATTCAAAGAAGCAGTTAGACTTGGGCTTTTATGCCCTTTTAACAAAGGAAATGTGGTTAGGGCTTCAAGGAACAACAAATTGTGGGGAATTTATTTAGGAGAAAATGTATTGGGAAGAGATGTCCAATCTTTTGGCTTGCCTGGGCCACACTGGAAGAAAAAGAATTTGTCTTGGGCCACACATAAAATACACTAACACAAATGATAACCGATGAGCTAAAAAAAAATTGCCAAAAAAAACTCATATTTTAAGAAAGTTTACAAATTTGTGTTGGGCCACATTCAAGACCATCCTGGGCCACATGCAGCCCATGGGCAGTGGGTTGAACAAGGTTGATATAGTGGAACTGTTGGAAAATAAGAGTTATTTCAGTAAGATCGGTTTACAGACTTGTCTCAGTGTCAACGCCCAGTCTCCAACGATAAGAATTTTTCCTCTTTCTGGCGAGGGTGGAGGGAACACCCTCACAAAGGGAAATTTGTCAGCTACTTTTAGGTAGATAGATAACTCTTCCTGCATCTGTTGATTCTCAGTAGCCTTCAGCTCTAAATCATCTTTATGCCAAAATGGCATATGTTAGGGTGACATATTCTGATCCCCTTCAATGACTTTCTACAACTGTATTAGGTTTTGATGTGTGAAGATCAGCAAAAATTGAAGAAAGCACTTATTCATTCATTTATTAATTCCTTCAATGAACATTTATTGAATACTAACAGTGTGCCAGGCACCTGGCCAGGAGCTCAAAATAGAGACATTCTTTGCTCTCAAAGGCATTCAAGCTGGTAGGGGTCAGATATGGAAGTTAAGTAAAATACAGTGCCAAGTGGCTGTGATATAAGTATGTGCATGATACAAAAGGAACACAATAGCATAAATTGTCTATTTCATCTGAGAAAAAAAATACTGAAAACATGAATGTTGCAGTTACTTTCCAGGGCTTCTGATCAACTCTGAGTGCAATCAGAAGTCAGAGTCACTTGTGACTCAGCAGTGATTACTGTCAAACAGCAGACTTAGCTAGCAAATTTGTGTTTACTGGGAGCTATGTTCAATAAACAATTCATCTGGAGGCATTACTTTAGTTGAAAACATATGTTTTTAAAAGTTTTACCCGTTGCTTATTTTCTTCAAAAGAAAAGTAAACCAATGAAACAATAGTAATTATAGCTACATCCAGCAATATATCACTGTAAGTATATAATATATATTTTAAATTATATATATATTTTTAAATTATGTATATCATACAATTATTTTATATAAATATATTTTTTCATTTATATATATATATATAATTTGGGGTCTTGGGCTGATTTAGTGGTATCTCCAATCTACTTCAGACTGTCTTTTGCACTAACACACACCAAATACCTGTGTCTGACTTACTTTTAACCTAGTCTGGGAGCCTTTTGTTGAAATGCTTTGGATGGAATTTTATGTAGTGACATCTGTTCACTGTGAGAAAATGCATTAGCTGGAATTGTTTAGTTATTTCTATGCCTCCAGTCAATCTTTTTCTTAGAAGTTATCCTATAGCTTACATGCAACTTCTCACCAGAGCTCAAACTTATGCAATAGGCTTTTCTCAACTAGCTAAACAGATCTAATATCCATGGCCGCTGTCCTAACTGCTTGATGTCTTTCTATATACCTATTATAATCCAATCTCAAGTCGATTACAAATAAATTTTACCCTTTCTTAAGCTATCAATCATAGGCAGGAACTCTGTGAATTAAATTAGTTGCCCTGAGCAACACTGGTGTGTTGCATATTTCGAGGAAATCAGCATGGTTCCTTGAAGTAAACAGGGGTAATTTTCCATTCCTTTTTAGAAGACTTTGTGCCAGTAGAAAAAATCAAACCTCAGTGTGACAATAATACAAATGTGCCGATCTCCAACCACTATCTAATTCAACTGCTGCTAGAGCCAGAAGAAAGGTTCTTTTGTGTGGAAATTCATTCTGTGATTTGGGGCAGTCTGCAGCATATGGGGGCAACAGAAAAACACACAATCGAGATGGTTGTGCAGGTGGTCCTGTTAGGACATGACAGCTGTAAGTGGCCATTTATTCTGAAAGTCAAGCTGCTTACTTCAGTTTGCAGAAAACATATCAATTATTTTAAATTACTTTTCAAAAATCTTATCTCTGACTTCATCTTTCTCTGTTGTAAAAGCTGAGTTCATGTTACCTGGTACATGTTGTGAAGAGGATTTCCAGAATGCACTTGTGTCTGGGGCCATTTTGTTTTCCCCTGGATCTTTCTGTCAGTTTGTTGTGTGATTGCGAGCGTCTAATTCACTCTCCCACCCCGCTGGCCATTTTACAGAGAAGGAAACAGAGGGCCCCAGAACAGTGGCCTCAAGGCCCTCCAGCTGTTCAGACAGGATCCAAGGCTTCTAATTACAAATCCCACTTGAAGTGGGACTAAGTATTCCTTCTAGAGATTTTTGTTTAATCAATTGTACACAGAAACGTCTTGCTACAATACAATAGTTCTAATCATGTCCCTTGAAACCTAAATGTATGTGTATTATGTGGCTTATACTTGGAACCACTGTTTCTTTCTTTTCTCTCGGTTCTCCACCGCTTGTGAGCCATGAGGATCTGTGAATCCTGCCTGCCTTCCACCCTTCTTTCAAAAGTCCTCCCATTCCTTCCAATACCAGATTTTTAGCCTGTTCACCTTCTGCCTCAACTATTTTCATGGCTACTGAATTACAGCTGCCTCTAGCTTCTCCCTCACCCAACCAGTTCCTCCCACACAGTGTCAGCAAAAAGTAGTCTGACCGTGCTCCAAACTGAGAAATGGCTCCCTCAACCTAAAACTGGAGCTCACGGACCTTGAGGTATTTGGGGATGTCTTCTCAGGGCTCTGTGAATTTCTGTATATGTTTAACAACGTTTATGTCATCATTTTGATGGGAACGTGTAAAATATAAATATGGAATGATTAGTGTGCATGGACGATTTCAGCATTCACATTTGTTTTTTGTGTCGTCTCCCATAGAGCAAATTTTTAAAAACCTAATTCACTTTTTTCTTAAATTTGTGTTTAGAGCCATAAGGACCTTGAGATAGAGTGAAACAATGGAGCAAGCTTTGGAGGGGCTGTTTGGACAGGACATGGCTATGTTCAGAATTGAGCCATATTTTACAGATTTCTGTAAAGACTGAACATAATTATGCCCAGTGGTAGGTGATTTTCAAAAATAGTTTCCAACGCCAAAAATCTCAATCAGTTGGATGTCAGTTCTATGTGCACTGCAAAATACAACATGGATCTATTTGCTTTACCCCGTGAGTTGGTTCTTTGGTTTTCTGATGGTTCCATAAGGCTGGGAGTTTGTCAAGAGCATTGTGACTGATGCTTTAGAGCTCGAGAGCATTATTAAATATTTCCCCGTGCTGCTCCCCAGTCCTTCCTCCCACTCTTGTTATCTGTTCTCAGAGTCTGGTGACTAAGGTTTCTGAATTATAAGGTACACTTTTCAGCTGAACAGTCGTCCTCCCCCATTTTCTGGCTCCTTGGGGCTGTGTTTCAGCTCCGGATCACCAAGTTTCTTCTCTCATATCCTTCTGGTTTTAGGATAGCTGATATTTGCATCATGTCTTCTCCGAAGCCGCTTAGATCTCAGCTGAAAGTAGAGGGTGGAGATAGGAAGATGGGAAGCACGTTCTGGATCTTTGAGGGGCTGTATAGATTTGTTTATCTTTTCAGCTTGGGTACCCTTCTCATTTGTTACTTCTAGCCTTCTTGCCCCTCTACTTTGTTTGTGTTCCTATTCTTTCTCCTCCTTCCCTCCATTGCTCTTTCTCAGTCTGTGTCTCTGTCTCTCTGTCTCTCTGTCCTTCTATGCCTCTGTCCCTCTTTGTCTTTCTCTCTATGTATCTGTCTGTCTTTGTTTCTCTCTGTCTCTCTGTATCTGTCTCTCTGTCTCTCTCTGTCTCTGTCTGTCTCTGTCTTGTCTCTCTCTGTCTCTCTGTCTCTGTCTCTCTCTGCTTCTCTCACTCCCAGGTCATGTCTGACAAATCACATAGATTTCTTTTGACTCCCAATTTCTGTCCTACATAACAACACTTTAAAAAAGTAACAGAAATTATGAAACCCATGAAATATGTCAGGTGTTCTGCTATTAACTTTTACACTCTGTATTTCATGAGACTTTTAAGCAAGCCAGCCCTGTCATTCAGGCAAGAGAGAGAATTTCCTGGCTCCTGTCAGTAGATGAACTCCACTTCTCTCCAAAAGCTAGTGCCATTGGTATTTCACACCCTAGGATTTCAGCCAGGAGAGAAAGATGAACTGTATTCATTCTAGTTCATGTACAAAATACTACCTGCCTTTGTCTCATGAAGCTTTTTGGCCTCACCTGGGCCAGGTGTCCCCCGCTGGGACTAGTCAACTGGGACCAGAGAGAGGAACATGTTTTATTAATATAGTAACTCCCATTTGGATCCAGGGATGGACAGGGAGAGGCAGGCAGGGAGGAATGGGTACCCGGAAGATCATCTTAGGTATCCATTTCATATATATGTGACAGCATTTGGCACTCTCAGCAACAGCTGAGGTCGACATTACTATTTCCACTTTACAAATAAGGAGAGACTCTTGGAGAAGTTAAACCACACAGATGATAAGTGGTTGGTCAGATTGATTTCCAAATCAAAATGTATCACGCGTCCCACAATGACATGACACAATATTTCGATGAAGATCAACACTGGGTTGCTTTAGTAAAATAAAGGAATTCTTAACCAATTGTTATCTAATATTACACAGTGGATGTCACTAAAAAGTCATCACTTAATTGTTGGTTTCTTTTATAAATCCAAATAATGTGATGTTAGAGATACAAGGGACCTTGAGACATGATCTTCTGTAGCCCCAAACCCAATCAGAATCTCGACTACCTTCACTGTCTGCATAAGCACCTTTACATCCTATACTCTAATCTCTCAGTTCTTGGACCACCTGAATTCTGATCCTTCCTCATTCTCTCACTTCTTACTCTCGTCTGCATACCCCAGATATATCACTCAAACTGGACATCCAAATGTCACATTCTCTGACGACACCTTGTCTCTCTGTCTCTGTGTCTCTGTCTCTGTCTCAATCTGACCAACCATTTATCATCTGTGTGGCTTAACTTCTCCAAGAGTCTCTCCTTGTTTGTAAAGTGGAAATAGTAATGTTGACCCCAACTGTTGCTGAGAGTACCAAATGCTGTCATCCTCATTCCAGCTTTCTCAGGTTGTCCTACTACCTGCCATTGTCTCATTGAGATATCTGATCCCTTAACACTCCGTCTCCAACTTCCACCCTTGCTGTGATCTCCCCCACTCCTCCCATGCCCCCCTATTCAGCCAAAAATGAATGTTTCTTCGTGTCGGTTGCTCTCTGTCCATTTCTTCCCCGTCTTGCCTCCTCGGTCTTCAAATCATGTTTGTGCAGCAAATCTCCAACCTTGAACCAACTAAATTGTTTTTACTTTCTACCTATTGCTACTCTCTGGAAAACAAACAAACAAAACCACCAAAACAAAGCAAAACAAAAACCTCACAAAAGCAGATTGCTACCACTAAGCGTTAACACTTGGGATCTCATTCTCCCACCCTTGCAGTGGTTAGTTCCAGACTTCACTGCTTTTTGCAGACTTCCTACCCCATAGAATTCTCCTCACTCTCAACAAGGTTGCGCATTCTACTACAGAGGGAAAACTGAAGCCTTTATATGACAGTTCTCTTATGTTCCAACATGAAAACCTTATACATTCATCTTCTTTCTCTAGGTCTGGGAGTCATTTCCCATCCTTTTCAGACAGCATCGTCTATGAATTTTCTTCTTCCTGTTTGTGATCTTCCACTTTTTCCTATTCAATAGCTCTTTTCTGTTGAAATGTTTAAAATATGCACTTCTGCTCACCAAAAGAAAACAAAAAAGCCTGCCTCTCTTTTGTAGGCTGTTTATGATCTCTCACCAGTGGAATATGAACTCCTCAAAGAAAAAGATGATCTTTCCCCACTATAGTTCCTGGCTCTTCATAGAAGTAATTATTAATAAATATTTGATAAAATGAATGAATACACCAGTTCAAATGCCTTGTTTGATTGATAGATAAGGAAACTGAGGCCAGGTTGATGTGATGACCAACCGGGTTTTATTGGACATTTGTAAATGATAAGTGTTTTCCCAACATTTGATTGATTGATTGATTGATTGATTGGAGACAGAGTCTCCCTCAGTCGCCAGGCTGGAGTGCAGTGGCGCAATCTTGGCTCAATGCAACCTCTGCCTCCCGGGTTCAAGTGATTTTCCTGACTCAGCCTCTCTAGCAGCCAGGGTTACAGGCACCTGCCACCATGCCTGGCTAATTTTTCTATTCTTTGGTAGAGACAGGGTTTCACATGTTGCCCAGGCTGGTCTCAAACTCCTGACCTCAGGTGATCCGCCCACCTCGGGTCTCAAAGTGCTGGGATCACAGGCGTGAGCCACTGCGCCCAGCCCCAATACTTGATTTAGTCAACTGATACAAGTAAAGCTATACAAATATAACACATATCATGATTTGCACTTTGTTTGGGATGCTTCTGAGATGCATTCTTGGAGTTATTAAGAATAACTTTGCCAGTGGATATGGTGAGATGACTTTGGATTTAATAGAGGAAAGAAAATTCCTCACAAGGAATGGCTCTTTGGGAAAGATTGTTGTCAACACAGCAGCAAGAACCTTTTAAAACTGACGACAGATTATGACACTCCCATGCTCAAAACCCTTCAACGCTGCCCATTTCCTGCGAAATAAAAATGCAAGCCCTGACCATCACATCCAGGACTCTTCAAGATCTGACCTTCCTTCCAAGCCCAATCTTCCCATTTCTTATGTCCTCCCTAACTCACCAAGCTTGCTCCCCGCAGGGTGTCTACTCGTGTTGTCTTTTCCTGGAAAGCTTATCCCTAGAGAGCCACACCACTCACTCCCTTTCTCACCTTTGCTCAGACACCTCCTTCTCAGTGAACTTGAGGAAGCTCCATGTCAGTCACTGAAACTTAAAGAATATTTTCTCTGCTTATAGAAAATAATCATTGTGCACACTTTCCTGTGGTGTTGGAGCAGGAATGGCAGCCACCAAGGACCTATGAAAATGTCAAGGCAGAAGTGTTGGCTTAGAATGGCTCCACCTCCCCCATCTACTTCCTCGTGCCCCCTTTCCTGATCCCAGAAGATGCCTGTGAGCTGGTGTGTGGATGTTTCCCTGGGTCAGGGCAAAGCCTCACGGGTCTGCCACATCTGAAAATGCCTGTTCGTTCTGTTCTCTTCCCATCCCTACCCTCCGTCATAACCTCCTTTTCCTCAGAGCAAACTAAGTTGTTGAGTTAATAAATCTGACACTCCAGCCTGGGCAACATAACAAGACCCCATCTCTACAAGGAAAATTTTTAAAAATTAGCCAGACATGGTAGCATGCACCTGTAGTCCCAGCTACTCAGGAGGCTGAGGCAGGAGGCTGGCTTGAGCCCAGGAGTTAGAGGTTACAGAGAGCTATGATTGTTCTACTGCACTCTAGCCTGAGTGACAGAGTGAGAACCCCATCTCTAAAAAATAAAATAAAATGATAAAATATAAATAATATATAAGTAAATAAATGTGTCCATACATCCAACACTCTAGGTCAAAAGTCTGCTGTGTTTATTCCTCTCACAGGCTGTTTGCATCTTAAGAGATGACCTTTTTATTAATTCAAACAGATGTGGGATTGGGAGATCATATAGGGAAGCCAGTTTTGACTAGGGAGAATCTTGCAGGAGCCAGGCCTCCTTTGGGACACAATCCAATTCTGTGACAGAATGACATGGATGCCTTACTTTGAGAGTTGCTCAAACCCTGAGAAGTAAGGAATTGCTTCTTAAAAGATCCATGAAAGGCAACTTGTTGCTATATTGATATTTTAATAGCAATATGTCCCCCAAATAATGTTATTCCATTTCACATTTCATATATATTTATATGCTTTCACATTTCATATATATGCATATGCTTTTTCAAGTATCATTTTTTTGGGAAAGTCGTTCCTGTAGCATTTGAGCAGGGCCGTAGTTCTGCAGTTGTTTTTGGCTAAAACTCCTCATTAGTTTCAAAGTGCAGTGTTTGATGATCATGGTCTTCAGGTTGTGCTCTGTTTTTAAAGGAAATATTTAACCACAGAGCAGGACACCCTATCACAGGCACTTAATTTAATGTGGAAACCCAGCTGTTACTTTCTCTGAAACTTTTAGTAACTATTAAGGAAGGTGAAGTGGCAGAATTGGAACCTGAACTATGGTTCATAACTCTGGGCTGAAACTGTTTTCGGAAGAAAGCTCTTGGGTTGGTTGAAAAGATAACTCATGACATGGCGGACAGCCCCAAAACCTAGAGCCAGAAAACATGGAATGCTTCAAACAAACAAAGCCCAGCCTCTTCTTCAATCTGTTGCTTGTTGGTCCTTGGCCAGAGGAAGAAATGTGGGACTCCTGGGAATTGTGCCCAGTGCAAGAGTTCAAAGCTCCCTTTTGGAACGGATTCTGAGTACCAGCAGATAAAAGGCCATCCTCATTTTAGAAAAGACTTGGGCCGCTTTACTCAGTGGCCTGATCTCGAAATATTCCAGAATGTGCTGGTCTCCCTGTACCTATTGTCCATGTCTGTTTCCTTTAGTCATCAGCTTTCCTCAGGCTGTATTTTGGGTGGGCTTAAAAAAATATAATAGCTTTAGAAATTACATAGTAGTTAGAATGAAGATTTTATGTAGAAAGAGCAGTTTATATAAACTCCCAGCATGAAAGTTACCCCAAATGATAGGATTCTGACTTGGTGCATTTGCAGAATTTCAGACTGGATTACTGGTTTTGAAATGAATCAAGTTGTGTGACGGCAAAGTAAAATTTCTTCATCCAAAGTGAACTTGATATCTCCAGAGATTCCCCTGACTTTGCCTCCTTTCTTTAAATATAGACAAAATACAATAATAATCTATCACTCAGCATTTGGTTTTTAAAGTTTATGAGCAACAGTAGAATAATATGGGAGAGAATTCAAGTGATTCTTTGTGTATTAATGAGGGTGAAGGAATATAATACGACAACTGGAAGCTTTGTCCTTTAATTGGTATTGTGTAAGCTCCTGGGGGAGTTACTATGTTTCCCTCAGGAACATAGTAATTGTATTCATTTTTGAACACAAGGATCATTTTCTCAGTGGATTACTTTCCCAGAGCCTAGCACAGTGCCAGGCAAGTTGTAAGTGTTCACTGTCTATTGAAAGAATGAATACGTTGTGAATAGTGCCGCAACAAACATATGTGTGCATGTGTCTTTATAGCAGCATGACTTATAATCCTTTGGGTATATAACCAGTAATGGGATGGCTGGGTCAAATGGTATTTCTAGTTCTAGATCCCTGAGGAATCGCCACACTGACTTCCACAATGGTTGAACTAGTTTACAGTCCCACCAACAGTGTAAAAGTGTTTCTATTTCTCCACATCCTCTCCAGCACCTATTGTTTCCTGACTTTTTAATAATCTCCATTCTAACTGGTGTGAGATGGTATCTCCTTGTGGTTTTGATTTGCATTTCTCTGATGGCCAGTGATGATGAGCATTTTTTCATGTGTCTTTTGGCTGCATAAATGTCTTCTTTTGAGAAGTGTCTGTTCATATCCTTTGCCCACTTTGTGATGAGGTTTTTTTTCTTGTAAATTTGTTTGAGTTCTTTGTAGATTCTGGATATTGCAGCACTATTCACAATAGCAAAGACTTGGAACCAACCCAAATGTCCAACAATGATAGACTGGATTAAGAAAATGTGGCACATATACACCATGGAATACTATGCAGTCATAAAAAAGGATGAGTTCATGTCCTTTGTAAGGACATAGATGAAGCTGGAAACCATCATTCTCAGCAAACTATGGCAAGGACAAAAAACCAAACACCGCATGTTCTCACTCATAGGTGGGAATTGAACAATGAGAACACATGGACACAGGAAGGGGAACATCACACACTGGGGCCTGTTGTGTGGTGGGGAGCGGGGGAGGGATAGCATTAGAAGATATACCTAATGTAAATGATGAGTTAATGGGTGCAGCACACCAACATGGCACATGTATACATATGTAACAAACCTGCACGTTGTGCACATGTACCCTAGAACTTAAAGTATAATAATAATAAAAAAGAATGAATACATGAAAGAATACTTTTTAGTATAATCTTTTAGGGACTATAAGAGAAAAAAATCCTTATGGTATTTTAAAACAGTATTGGAACGGCTACATATTTGGAAAGTTCAGATAGATCACTAATGGAGAAACTGTCTAGTAACCCAGTGAGCAGTTGGGTTGGGAGAATTGGTTGTGAGTTTGGAAGAGACAGAGAATGAGGTACACAATATAATTTGAGTCACAGTTCATTGAGGCCTGACAAGAAATGGGAAATGGAATAGATTGAGTGTGGTCACATGATATCTACGGACTATTGGGAAAATATTGAAAGCTCCTAAATAGGGACAAGTCAGAAAAGCTGAGTTTCATTTCATGGACTTTCTTGGGCAAATATACATGGGAATGCATGTTTGGGGTTAGTTCAACATATTTTTTAGTTTTGAGACCTTAGCTAAAGATTCCCCCAGAACTCCTGAAAAATAAGCTTGCACTGACTAGTATTCTGAGCCTGCACAGGTTTGAGACTTATATTCTTATTTGCTTTTTTTTTTTTTCCATGCTTGTTAAAACTGGCAACATCAACTACTTGGGCTCCTCTAAGCAGACCTTAGCCCAGGCAGCCTGGCATGGGCCCCCATCTGGCAGTGGCCACAACCTGCCTGGATGTCCCATCTGCTAATAGATGGACCTGACAAGCAAGTTCAGGCCTGTGTATCTCAGATATCATTCGTTGTTTACCATATTGTGACTGGCTTGGGTCCATCGTCATCCATGCTCAGTGAACTGGTCACTCCTGGGGTTCTATATGTTTAAGATCTGAGGTCTATACTTGCATGAAGGATGTGGACCTTAAAATTAACCGAAACACAAGTTCAGTTGCTCGCTGCTTACAAACTCCAATTAGCAAGAGCAAGGTCTGGTATAAAGAAAGTGACTTTTTATTCCGTAGTTAGCTTAGGAGAAGCAGCACAGGCTTCCTGCCTGAAAGGTCCTGCTTCACTTTTGGAGCAGAAAGTGGGTGCCTTTAACGGGGAAAGCCTGGCATTAATGGCATACAGAGGCGGAATCAAGCAGGTGGAGAGTCCACATATCGGCGTCAGGCCCTATCTGCCAGGTGGTCAAGCGGGTGACTTTTGGTGCCTTCCTGGGCAGGACTAGGTTGTAAACGTGGCTGAAAACTCTCCAGGTGGGAGAGTCTTGTAGTGGGTATACTTTGGGTTGTAGATGGACTGGTTTTTTTTTTTGTTTTTTTGTTTTTTTGAGACAGTCTTGCTCTGTCACCCAGGCTGGAGTGCAATGGCGTGATTTTGGCTCACTGCCACCTCCATCTCCTGGGTTCAAGCAATTCTCCTGCCTCAGCCTCCCGAGTAGCTGGGATTACACGCATGCGCCACCATGCCTAGCTAATTTTTGTCTTTTTAGTAGAGATGGGGTTTCACCATGTTGGCCAGTTTGGTCTCGAACTCTTTACCTCAGGTGATCCACCCGCCTCGGCCTCCCTAAGTGCTGGTATTACAGGCATGAGCCACCGCGCCCGGCCTGGACTGTTGTTTCTTGGGGCAACCTCCTGGTGGGTGAGAGTTCCACTTTGGGACTTCCAAGCACGTGGTTAGATAAACTCACCCTGAAGGGAGTATCTGGTGAAGGGGAGGTAAAAGGCTATAACTGCCTTTCCAAAGAGCTAAGTAGGCACTGGGATAAACGAGGAAAAAGAAAGGAAGAGAGAGAAAAAATATAAACTATCTCTTAGAAAAATGGGATTATTTGGTTACAAAAAGTCATGCTTTGCCAGGGCCTACTTATGTCTTGTTGGAAGAAATTGTGAGGGGGACAGTGATATTGGGAGGGTCCACAGTAACCCTGAGGAGTCATTGTAAAGGGCAATTTTCCGGAATATTTTATATTGGCATCCTTGAGATTTGGGTCACTAGTTCCAAAGTCATTTTCATTTATTTTTGTATTTGACCACTATTAAAATTTCTATTTCTTTTCCTCTTTATATCACACTCCCCTTTATACCAAGGCATTTTATTCACTTTCAAAATCTTTTTGTCCTCTGTGAACATTCTCACTCTAATCAGAGTCCCTTGGGATGCACTGACTGCCTGCTCTGAGCTCAGGGCTGTGCTGGATGCTGGAGAGACCATTCTGCCTATCAAGTCTTGACACTCCATCCCTTCAAAGAGAGTATCATCTAACTAAGGAACAGAACGAATACAGGAGAGCCCTAAGTCCTGCAGGAATGCAGAAGAGTATTCATGAGGGATGGGGTAGTCCAAGCTAGAGCACAGGCTTGGTAGGATGAGAAGGTGTCAGAATGCATATGGTGCTGGGGGAGGATGGTCTAGACAGTGTGTGTGTTGAGGGGAAAATCAAGGGTTGATCTATACTGGGTCACAGAGCCCAGGGAGTTGCTATAGCAATTCAGGCATACAGTGGTTAGGGCTTGGACGAGGATGATGAAAAGGGGAATGGAGAATAAGCTGAGGTCACTGAAACATATGAAAGGAGAATAAATAGAAAAGTCTATATGATGAACAGAAGAGCTGTTCGTTATTACTTCTTGTTTTTCTTCTTCTTAAGTATGCTCTAACAATCCTGTAACATAATGTTTTCCGAATTTCTGAGTATTTTTAAGATAACATGCTTTTTGACTAATGAAATAGTTATAGCATGATACAGTAGAGAACCGAATGTGTATAGGATAACTTAGAGCCATAGAAACCTACATTCCAACCTGGGCTCTTAGTGACGTGACCTTGGGCAAGCTAGTTCACTTTTTTGAGTAAATTTTTACCATCTGAAAATTGAAGACAAGAATTCTCCCTAAGATAGTTATGAGGAACATGTGATAGGGAACCCCTTCTCTTGTGTATCTTCAGATAATTTATGAAAACCTAAAGAACTTCCGGGATGTGTAGCCCCAAATTATAGGCCATAGGTCACCAAATACCAGCCACAGACCTTACGAGAGGGCTTTGCCTCTAAAGTTGGAAAACCAACAACCCACCACTTATATAATCTGTATGAACACATGTCCCAAGCCCCACTTTATATATTTAATTTTTAACGTTTGCAACTTTAAAAAAATAAAAACACAAATCTAGGAACAAAAATAATCTTTGGTTTCCAGTTCCCAGTGGCTCTTCTTTTTATTAGGTATCGATCTGAGCTTCCTCTCAAGAATGTCTCTGTATTTGCTGCAATTATCTTATAAATGAATTCATCTTTTCATGAGTGAGTTTTATTTTTTCTTACAAAAATAGAAAACTTCTGCAATAACAAGGTTGAGCGTTTAGCTTTTCACATTCAGGAAATACATCAAATAACGATAAAGTACAAGAAACATTGCATTTGAATTATTTTTTAGCTTTCTAATTGTCATTATTTTAATTATCAGCCAGGTTTTCTCTCTAGCTCTTACTCAGCCACAGCCTAGATAGGGAATGCAGACTGTTGAAAGTGTACTTGGGATGGGAGAAGAGGTCTTTTTTTTTGTATAAATCAAGAGCAAATTCTCTTTGGTAAGAAAAATGCAAACTCCACAAGGTTTAGAGAGACATGAGCCAGGCCAGATCTTGATGTGGGAAGCTGAGGGTCTAGAGTAGAAGGAAGGAAGACTTCCAAGTTTCATGTGAAATCTAATGGTTTTGTTTATCTAAGTTGTACAATAACAGGATTTTGTTGTTGTTGTTTTTGAGATGGAGTCTCGCTCTGTCACTCAGGCTGGAGTGCAGTGGTGCGATCTCAGCTCACTGCAACCCTCGCCTCCCGGGTTCAAGCGATTCTCCCGCCTCAGCCTCCTGAGTAGCTGGGACTACAGGCACACGCCACCACACCCAGCTAATGTTTGTATTTTTAGTAGAGATGGGTTTTACCATGTTGGCCAGGATGGTCTCAATCTCTTGGCCTCGTGATCTGCCCACCTCGGCCTCCCAAAGTGCTGGGATTATAGGCGTGAGCCACCGTGCCAGGCCAATAACAGGATTTTATTGAAGACTCAGTGTGTGCTAGGGCTGAAAATTCAAAGGCTGTTCTCAAAGAGCATGAACGCTTGTGTAAGTAGAAAAAAATCCTCTTATTTTCAAAGCTGAGAGTTTCGTGCAGACTGTCCTGGGCTCGCGGGGTGGTGGGGACAGAATACTCCTTATGTAGAAAATTGGTCTTTTTGTGGGAAAATATCTAATAGGTCTTTAGATTCGATCAATACATTTTAGTGCCAGTCTGAATGAGAGAGAGAGAGGTTGACCTCCCAGTAGATAAAAGAAGGAAAATATCCAGATATGGAGAAGAGTGGCGGTGGGTGAAGAAGACCCTTCTCTGAGGAGGAAGATTACCAGTGAGAATTTCTTTGCTATAGATGATGGGGATTCAAAGTAAAGTGGCACTCAATATCCTAAGTTATCTTCAGCTTTTCTATGTTTCGTGATTATCCATTATGGTCCCACATTTTTAAAGTCCTAAAACTTCAATGAACTATCTTAAAAATAACAAGTTTCTTTGGAGAATAAAGGGGAAAATACAAGATAAATCATGAAAAACATTTTAATGGGCAAAAACGGTGACTGAGTGTCCAATAGTCTAACACACTCTTTTTCGTTACTTTCACCTTTCCTTTTCTTTTCTTTTCTTTTTTTTTTTTGGAGACGGAGTCTTGCTCTGTAGCCCAGGCTGGAGTGCGGCAGCGCCATCTCGGCTCACTGTAAGCTCCGCCTCCTGGGTTCACGCCATTCTCCTGCCTCAGCCTTCCGAGTAGCTGGGACTACAGGGGGCTGCCACCATGCCCTAGCTAATTTTTTGTATTTTTAGTAGAGATGGGGTTTCACTGTGTTAGCCAGGATGATCTTGATCTCTTGACCTCGTGATCTACCCGCCTCGGCCTCCCAAATTGCTGGAATTACAGGCGTGAGCCGCCGAGCGCGGCCTCACCTTTCATTTTCTGTGAGCCATTTTACAACTATGTAAGGTAGAAAACAGTAACGATGCAAATGCTTTTTGTTTAAAAAAGTGCAAATTGTACGGAGGTGTAGTTGATTACTGCCATGTGGATATTGACTACTTTTGCTTTGGCTGTAAATTTTTTTTTAGCATATATGTGTATATTTCCAAAAATTCTCATTTGTAGCAGTGGTGACATCTTACTGGTTCGCTCATTAATAAGTTAAAAAACTCTTTGGCGTGTTCATTTCTAAAAATTCTCATTTGTAGCAGTGGTAACATTTTACTAGTTCCCTCATTAATAGGTTAAAGAAAATCTTTGGCGTTGTTCATTTTGTGTTTGTTCTAGGCATCATGATTTAACGGTTTTTTTTTTTTTTTTAAAGAAAACTTTTAACAAAGGAGAAGGAGGCAGAGGAGAAGGCACATGAGAGGGAAGATGGTGATACAGGAGATAGAAAGAAATTATTTAGGCAGATAGTGAGGGCAAAAGAGTCCTTGGCAGAACTTCACTTCTAACAAAAAGCACCCCAAGAAATCTATTTTTTTTTTCCTAACAAAGATCAGCCTGAAAGATTGAGCTGCAAACATAGATAAGAAAACTGGAAACTTGCATGGAGGAATGCTGTCAGCTATGCTGATAGATAAGGGCTACCTGGGGATCAGGCCTGTCCACCATGGGGGCTCCACCTTCCCTTTTTTGTTAGCATGTGCACAGTAAAAAAGAACTAGGCAGCATGAAGAAGCTCAGGCAGAGAACCCACCTGCATAATAAAAGATTGGGGTGGGGGCTGCCAGAGATTTGTGCCCTATGTTAATGGCACAGCTGGTCCTAACCAGTTTCTCAAGCCCTATGTAGATCAGACACCACCTCCTCACCAGCCCATCTATGAAACCTCCTGCATTTGACTGCAGATTGGCAACCCGTTTTTCTAGGACCGTGCTGTGTAAGAGAGACCTATTCTCTTTCTTTCTTTTTTTTTTTTTTTAATTTTTGAGACAGAGTTTCGCCCTCGTCACCCAGGCTGGAATGCGGTGGTGTGATCTTGGCTCACTGCAACCTCTGCCTCCCGGGTTCAAGTGATTCTCCTGCCTCAGCCTCCTGAGTAGCTGGGATTATAGGCGTGTGCTACCATCCTGGCTAATTTTGTATTTTTAGTAGAGACAGTGTTTCACCATGTTGGCCAGGCTGGTCTTGATCTCCTGACCGCAAGTGATACACCCCCCTCGGCCTCCCAAAGTGCTGGGATTACAGGCGTTAGCCACCATGCCCGGCCCTATTCTCTTTCTTTTGCCTGTAAAATTTCTGCTGTTAACCTTACTCTTTGTGTGTCCACATTCTTGATCTTCGTGGCTGTGAGACCACGAAACTTGGGTGTCATCTCAGACAATGAGGCTGCTTCAGTAGGGACCAAATTTTGAGAAAATCTGTGCAAACTGTGAACAACAGAGAAAAGTAAGTAAGCAGCAACTGAGAATGTATTCACAAAAACAACTGCCCTTCATGGAGATTCTATAGAATTCTTAGGACTGTGTGCTAGAGGTTTCAAAAAGGAGGGGCATTTTAAGACATTGTGTTTGAATATTAAAGAGTAATTTCAGTAAAGTGAGAGATCTCGATTCTAACAAATACATTGGTAAACACATAATTACAACAGTGTGATAATTGTCAGATTGGAGATATTTGCAAGTTTCATTAAATCACAGCAAGGACCCCTAAATCTTTTGACTATATTACCGACATTTTTTAACATTTCCATTCATATTTGAAAGTTAAATCAAGTTTTCAGAACTAAAATAAGAAATATCTATATTTCTCTACATCTAATCTATCTTATCTGTCTCATCCATCTATCTTTCTTTTCTTCCCCTCCTGTCTATTTATTGCTACTTTAATTACTTAAAGTAGCAATATTATTAGACAGCAATAAATAGACAGGAAGGAAGGAAAAGAAAGAATAGTAAAAGTAAACTATTACATTCAGTCAAGTTCAACATTGTCAGAGTAACTGAGAATCCCTTACCTGCCTAATTATTAACAGATTCTTTTTTTAAAATAGAGTAACAGTGTCTTTCCTATGTCAGAGGGAGAACAGATGCCCCTTCCCTGCAAATAAAACGTGCATGAAGTGACACTATAGAAAAGGGAGACATGACTCTTTTGTTCTCCAAGGAGCTTGAACCCTCCCAGTGGGGGCAGTGCTTAAGAAGTAGGGGTTGGTTGGCCGGGTGTGGTGGTTCATGCCTGTAATCCCGTCACGTTGGGAGGCCGAGGGGGGCGGATCACGAGGTCAGGAGATTGAAACCATCCTGGCTAACACGGTGAAACCCCGTCTCTACTAAAAATACAAAAAAATTAGCCGGGCATGGTAATGGGCACCTGTAGTCCCAGCTACTTGGGAGGCTGAGGCAAGAGAATGGCATGAACCCAGGAGGCAGAGCTTGCAGTGAGCCGAGATTGATTGCACCACTGCCTGGGCGAGAGTGAGACTCTGTCTCAAAACAAAACAAAAACAAAACAAACAAACAAAAAAGAAGTAGGGGTTGGTGAATTTCTCTGCAAAGGAAAACCTCAGGTCTTTTCTGAGACTCTGCAGGGCTATCTCCTTTTCTTTGTGCAACCCCCACTCAGTAATCATGGGGAATTACCATCCCAGTTGGCTTTACCTTAGGAGCAAATTTATGGAGCCCCTGCTAGAGGGATCCTAGCTACAAGTACCAAAATTAGAGGTGGCTTTGTGATCAGGTAAAAATAGCAAGAAGTGTGAAGTCAGACAGACCTGTGTTTTCTTCCTACTCTCATGCCTTACTGACTGTTCAAGTTTGCACTAAATGTCTTAACTTCCCAAGAGATTTCTCATATGTGAAATGCTGAGATAAAAACACTAACCTTGAAGGTTTATTCATAAATAGACATAGATAAGACAATACAAAGAACTTGGCATAGGGTGAGTGTTCGGTGTCATTTCTACTTCCCTATTTGGCCAACTCAAGGGAATGAACAAGATCTGAAACCCTACAAAGGAATTTTAGGGAAAGGAAAAATGAGATTTCCAAACAATAATTTTTTTATGAGACATAACAAAGAGAAAGGATTTGGGGGTTGGGTTTTCCTGTCTTTCTGAAATTAGGTTTGCATCCAGGAACAAATACCTAGTTCTCAGTGGCAGTGGATTTGGTTTCTTTTCTAACCCTCTTTGTCCCCATTATAGCAACACAAGCATCTTGACTGATCAATAAATAGTCTGCCCTCCATTAGTTACCAACCAGCTCACTGGGAAGGGGTTTAGGCTGCTAGAATTCTAACCTTTGAGCACCTACATAAAAGAGTCACGAATGAAGGGGGAGGCAAATGCTGTCTTTTGCACTCATTATTCAATACTGGGATTTTCTGATTTTGTTTGTAGCAGGTAATCTCAGCCTCAAGACTCTGTCACCCCCACACCTAATCATCTATTTGACTTCTACCCACAGAACTGCCTTTAGCTGAGAATAATGCCTCCTCTTAATCAGCATAGATGACTCAGCTATGAGTTTTTTGGTTTTTGTCTCTGATTATTTTCCTGTAGTTTTGACTTACGTAGTATAATGCCATGACCCTGGTAACATTGCTTTTCTCATCATAATACCATCTATAAATGCACTGCTATTTCAGAAAGTGACATCTTAAAGCCAAGGCTAGGTAAAATTTTCCAGAATAACCTAAGAAGGACTTTTTTTTTTTTTTTTTGAGACAAGGTCTGACTCTGTCACCCAAGCTGGAGTGCAGTGGCACGATCACGGCTCACTGCAACTTCAGTCTCCCAGGGTTCAAGCAATCCTCCCACCTCAGTCCCCCACGTAGCTGGGAGGCTGGGACCACAGGTGCATGCCACCATGCCCAGCTACTTTGTGTATTTTTTGTGGAGATGAGGTTTCGCCATGTTGCCTAATCTGGTCTTGACCTCCTGGGCTCAAGCGATCTAGCCACCATGGCCTTCCAAAGTGTGGGTGTTATAAGCATGGGCCATTGCACCCATCAGAGAAGGTCATATCTTAAAGGGATTTTCAGGCATGGCCAAGAGCACTCGGTATATTGGCTCAATTCACCCTTCAACATCACTCCTTGTGAAATCTTTCTACCTCTACTCTGGGGGAGTAGGAGGAAACTGAAAAGACTGGCACTGTGGGGGCTCCTGCTTGTGGAAGGAAAATGTCGTTTTCTAGCCTACTCTCAAAGCACTACATTTATCAACATCATTTTTACAAAGTTATTTTTTAATACAGGGTTTTTAAAGCTAAGGTTAGTTACCAAGTGGTGAAGTTTTATTAGAATATGCCAAATACTGTGTTAACCCTATATAGACCTTTGAACACTTATCCATATAGTAATCTGTATGTGAAATATCCTGAGAATTTTAGACTGGAGACTAAAGCTTAGAGAGGTCAATTGACCTACCCAAGTTCACACAGCTAAAACGTCCTAAGTGCATCAAATTACTTTTATTTTGCTTAAGCTTATAAGGAATAAGATGTGATAATGCATCTTGATAATGAAACATTCACTGTGTTATTTTACTTGTTTTTCGTTAAGTACAAAGATGTTTTATGAGTATTTTATTCCAGTTTTCTCTTTAATAGCTTAAAATCAAGAATACCTTAAATTGAAAAATAAGCAATCTGAGACGGTCAAAAGGAGGTAATTCAACCTAATAATTCAATATTTAAAAAAAACAAGCAAACTTAGGAAATTGTTACATGCAGTGCATATTAATTTGGCCTTGTGGCTCTTCATTGTGCTCTTACCTTTAGGTACCTCCTCTTCTCTACCACATCCAATTGACAACAGATCCTTTTTTTCTTTTAGTATCTTATTATACTCAGTCTGGTTGCAAGGTCCAGGGAGTTAAAATCAGATTCTTAAAGGTGATTTTGCTTATCTCTGTTCTGCTACGAGTTAGTCTTATAGGTAAACTCTTACAGGGAGACCTTCCTTACTTCCAAATTCTTAGTAGCATCACACTGAGTCAGTCTACAGGAAGGTTTGTTCACTTTACTAAAAACCTCTCAATTCCACTAAAGGATCCCCAGTAATTTCCTTTATATGACTCTTGAGCAGACTTAAGTGATTCACTCAAAAACATAATGGAAATCCTAGGAGGCATATACCATGAGTTAGCCTGAAAGTGAGCAATTCATATAGAATTAAGAATGAATTATTATTTCTGCCCCTGGTTTTGATCATACATATATGGACTATCTGAGCCAGGTAGACTAGTTTGAGGTTTGCTTCCTGTGGTAAGAGCTGTTCTGTCTTGGCTGAATATTAGACAGCTTACGCTAGACATAAAGGCTAAGTGAGGCTATGACTAAAGCATCATTTCTATTTCGTAGTCTTGGTCCTGGGCCAATAACCCTGGTCTGCAAATGAGAGAGATGTTCCAGACTACACATACTGCAAAACAAAGTCAACTGGAGTAGAATCTTTGATGTGGCATTTGAATAAACACCTGAATTGAATTACTGATAGACCGGTGCTGAATGTCCTTCCAGCTGGTTCTCCAATAAGTGGATCTATCCCAGATACAGGTCACTTGCAAAGCTTGAACACCACAGAGTGGACTTAGGACCGAGCAACAAGCACCTTTTGCTTTGAGGAATATTTACCATGTTTTCTATAACCATAAAATATCCAAATATGGAAGATACAAACTCTAAATCTTATGTTTTAAACTCTCTGAAATAGTGATATGATTTGACTTTCTGTACTATTCATTCTTCTATTAAAAAGTGAGTGAGTTGTGGTCACAGAAATGTAAAGCACAATAGAGTTTGTTGTAGAAAGAAAAAGGAAGAAAAAGGAAGGTAAAATAAGATTTCTGTGAGCATAGGTCTTTCACAAACAAGGTGCATCAATGCCCAAGGAAAACCAGTCCACTGGCTGCTTTTATGCATTGTAGGAAAGACCATAAAAGTCACACTGATCTTGTATCAAAAGGTGGCAGTCCTGTGTTCATGGCCTGCTGGTGAAAATTTTAAATCATTGAGATGCTACAGGCAACATATTTCTCAAGCTACTAAACCCTGGAGGAAGGTAAAGATTGCAAAAACCACATAATTGAGCTGAACCTGGTATTCCCCTTTGCAAAACAAGGATACTGTCCTCAGTCTGTCTTGCAGGAATATTAAGAGCTCTTCTTTCACAAAATATTTTGAGTTTTTCTGAGAGAGAAGCTCTGAAAATATTGAGACTGTTTTTTTTAACATAGCAGCAAAATACTCTTTTTTTAGTAAACTATATTTGCACATGTGAACATTCTCAGATTTTAAAGTCTTACTCTTAAGTCTTACTCTCTTTAAGTGAATTTTTATGTTTATGGTATTTTGTGAAATATCAAGAGCAGCAAAACTGAATTACAAATATAATTGCTGTTTTACTATAGCTAAGAATGAAAACAGATGGTAATTATGTCCACTACAAATTGTCCCCTGAGCACATGGGTCATCCATGTTTCTTATGGATGATCAGTTTCTTAGAGGTGCAGAAGAACCATACCTTGCTACATCCTTGAAAATGGATTTTTGCTATAATAAGTGAACTTTCAGGATGTGGTGCAACTATGAACACACTCAATTGCATAACCTGTGGTTTCCTAAGCAGGATTTCCATTTGAAAATGCCCAGGGTCTGTTAGAGAAGAGAAAGTCTAAATAGGATCTTAAATGACATTGATGCTTCAGAGATGTGAAGATTAATCATGATTTTTTTGGGGAGGGGGGCAACTCCGTTTTCTTACTTACATCTCTGAGTACTGACATACAGTCAATAAAAATATTTCCTTTGCCAGATAACGAAGTCCTCGTATTTTTCTTGGTACTATTTGTTAAAACTTACAGGTAGTACTGTGATAAATCATTATAATAATTATAAATCTATTATAATTTTAATAATAATGGCTGCCATTTGTTGAGGTCTTGACCGTACAATGAAAAAGATTTTACACACATTATCTCCTTTAATCCTGATAATAACCTGCAAAGCAAGTACTATCCCCATTTTACAGTGAGAAACAGAGGCTTAGAGAGGGAAAATAACTTGGCCGAGACAAACCTCCAGAAACCAGCAGAGTTGGAGAGTATTTATACAAATAATTAACTGTTATGGGGTTTTTTTTTCTAATTTTCAGTGGTCCCACATAAAAGAATAGTATAAAATGTTTGTCAGTTTTCTGTATATGTTATTCTCTTTCTGATCAGTTAGAGGACTACAAATCAAGTTAAAAATTTTAATAATTTCTATTATCCTGCCTCACTGATACGGAGGTCTAATTAATCTGGTGATATATTGATTAATTCATTCATTTAACAGTTGTTTCTTATGTGAGCCCTCTGATTTTATTCATCCTTCATCCTTCAAGCCCCTCCTTAAATCTACCTCCTACATAAAGCCTTCCTCAGTTTATATTTGTCTTTTTTACTTTATAGCCACTTAGTTTGTTTGTTTTTTTTTTTCCAAAATGTGTGGTGTGTACCACTAGGGATACACAAGATAGTTCTAAGTGATACACAGGCAAACATTTCTAAATGTTTCAGTATTATGTTGTTAACTAGAGAAAAAACCTCTAACTAGCACATAAAATCTGTGATTTCACAAATACTATTTTTATAACAAAGCTAAATTTATTTGTATAATAAAATATTAAATAAGTGATAGTAGATTTGAGAAGATGGTTTGTGTCTTCTGAAATTCAGGAGATGGGGAATCCCATATGCTTTGGCTCATTATTGTTCTATAATGGTGTTTGTTACTATGTGTATGTTTCATTTGCAAACAAGATCATTATCATTAACACATACTGAATACTTACCATGTGGCTACTTCTATACTACACATATGACTACATCATCTCAATTCCTTTTTATAACAACTCTGTAAAGTAGGTACAATTGTAAATCCATTTCATAGAAGAGGAAACTGAGGCTTAGGAAGAGGTTAAGGAACCTGCTCAAACACAGTTAGTAAACCATAGAGCCAGGATTAAAATCCAGGTTTATTTAATTCCTGACCTCATCTTCTGTCTACCTATGCTACCTCCTCAAGGAAGCATATTCCTCAAGGAGAGATGGGGTCAGCAGATATTGTGGTATCTGAAATTATTCCTGGAGTACCTTTTCTTGTCAATGAAAGTTTGGCAAGTTAGAGCTTCTCAGAAGCAGGGATACATTTTTAGAAAATAAGTATTTTTCTCTTTTAGAAGAACATTAAGTATCAAGAACTGAAATAACACTATGGTCTTTTCAGTAACAAGCAGATTATGTGAAGCTCTAAGGTAATCATTCTTTGCATCTTCACTTATTCCTTAGAGATACTGCTGACTAGGCAAAGAAAAATCTTCCAACACCTTCTTTGCTCCAACATACATACATACATACCCTCACACATGCATACATAGGGCACACATGCATACCCACACACAAACACACATTCGCATTGCAAAGATACACACAAATACACATACACACAAATAGACACACACAGTCTCTTTTTTAGCTATCTAGCCAAGTTCATTTTCAGGAAACCTGATTTGAGGAGCATGGCTGATTTGATACATAAGACAGGCTTTGGGGAGTCATTCTGGGGAGCATTTGCTGATTTTGTACAATGCATTCACTCTGCCTACTTTTCCATTCCATTGTTTGAACTAAGGCTATCAAATTTATTCTCTTTGCACTAGACAAAATGATAAGAATGTCAACCTATTAAAGTCTGAGTTGATTTAACAAACAAAGTTATACAAAGCATCAACAGCCAGATTGACTTCACTTCAAATCCTTTTCCTTTTTAATAGAGCAAAATCTCCTTTCTCATTTGCTGGTGAACTCTAGAGAGTGGTTTAGATTTTTGGTACATGACATTCTCAAGAATTATAGTAGGTTTATTACAGTGGTTATGGGAAGTAAACTCCATCTTATTTTTTCAACTCATTACTTTTCTCAATTTCAATCTGAAACTTAAATGCTGAATTCCACTTGGGTAGGTAGTGAATGACATTAATTCCTTCAGTCCTGACCCAGGTTTCCTGTCAATATTGGAGTGAAGCACCTTTAGACTCCATATATTTGAATGCTTAGTCCCCAAGTGTGCAGAATTTCCCCAAGGCAGAATGAGTTATAAGCTGCTTTTATGTACTTCCCAATGCTGGGCCCTTAGTGATGAATCAATGAATGTTGCTGAAATGAAATTTTTTTTCATATCATGGACAAGAAAACCTTGAAGAGGAGGGTGACAATAGATTCCATCAAGTCAACTATTTTCTATATGCTCATTACGGATGCTAAGAAACTAGATGGAGCTCTCTAAGGACAGGAACAAATGAGGCTAGCAGACTGCATAACATATTGTAGATAATATTATATTGAGGGGACTCAGGAGTGCCATAAAAGGTACATTGTCACCAGTCTATCAGATTTTAATATTTCCATAATTATTAAAATGAGATGGTAAAAAGAAAAAGCATAACCACTAGAAGTTACCATAAATTAATAATATTCTCAGGCAAACAGTTGCTCTCATAATGAATTTTGGTATTTGGTTTCAAAAAGGAACCAAACAGTTGAAATACTTCCACACATTCTAGAAAATGAAATTGGCATACAGGGTTTTGACGATGACTGTAAACAATGGTTTGCATTTTCTTCTCCATTGCCCAAAATGACGTTAATCCTCTCTGGCGCTCATGACAGGGAAAATAAATGACTTTTTTCTTTCCCTTTGTCAGAAACACACTAAATCATTCAGGATTGTTTCGAAGTAATTTCATCTGTTTTTGGTCCTGTTTTTATGAGCACGGAATGTCTCCTCGGGACCTGGAGAACACTTTCTGTTAAAAAGCCATATTACAATATGTTAATTTGTGATGGACGTTAGTATGCGCATCCCATGGTCTTGAGGGACTCAAATCGCTTCGGGAAAATGATGCCCTCTTCTTGACTTGGGCATTCAGCCAGAAACTGGGGGTTCTCTCTTTCCTGAACATTCTATTGGACATATGACAGCACACTGACACCACGTGTCAAAACTATTTTTTAAGAAAAATGAGTGAGCACTGTATATTCTGTACCAGGCAAATGACAATAACCTTGAGTCCCACCACCATCGATAACCTCTTGCCACCCAGTGTCATTTTTAATAAGTTCTCCATGAAACTAGTTCCATCGTCTGTCACACTGCCCTCTGCTGGCCTGGACTGTATTTACTGACACAGAACATTAAAAACTTAAAATGTTAGGAAGGGAATCCTCAGAATCCTCTGGATCTGACCATTGATTACAGCTCTTCCAATACAACCCACAAGTCTATCCATTTTAAAATGCCATTTATTCAACACTTATGGGGCCCTGACTCGTGGCCGGGCAATGTAGGCACTGCGAATATAGCAATGAACAAATCGCATACCGTGTGCTAAATAAGTGTCCAGCCTAGCAGGCAGGATGGTCTCGTAAACAAGTAGTTATAGTAAGAGGTGAAAATGCCCATATCTGGGTAATGCAGTGTTTATTTTCTTCCTAATCGTGACTGTAGATCTTACTCATTCTGTTGGTGTAAGAAAAAGGCCATATCCTGGTCTTGATGCACTTACCATAAATTTGGCATCATAAGGTTTATGTCAATTCACGTTTCCTTTAGGTCTAGTTCTATTTCATTATGTGGAAGCTCCATGCTAACTGAGGCCTGTCTAACAAATTGGATATGGATAAAATATGGTGAGTGCTTGGGCGCCATTTTTCAGCCCACAGTCATAGAGATATTTTACATAATTAAGGTGCGTCTAGAACAGCAGCCCAATGTTCCAATACATTTGTTAGTCTGCTACTTTGGACCAATATTTCTGGCTTGAGAAAATCACATTGGCAATATAATTTGGTTGGGTTAAAGCTCAGAGAATAGCAAATGAATCATCTGTGATTATATTAAAAGTATGGCCAAAATTTTATTCCAACTATTTTTGAAGTATGTAGGAATACAGGTTGTGTGAGGTCAGAGTAAAGGTTGAGCCTGGGAAGGTAATGGTGATGAGAAGAGTCTTCATCTTAACTATACTTTGAAGGTATGAAGCTGCAAGATCAGAATCCCAGGGGCTATTGTTTTTTCCTGGTTATTTTACTTTTCAAAAGTTAGAGTATTTGCTATTCAGTGGAATCTTGTTCCAAAGATATTGGTTAACTGAGTCAAACTCTATGGTTTTCCACCCAATTTTTCCTGTTCTATGATAGAATTCAATTCTCTTAAAGTCCAATTTAAAAACTATTTATAAATGAAAGATTAAAGAAATGTAAGTAGGTATTTTGTTCTCTAATTATAAATTTGCATTAATCATTACTTAGTTTAACCGATTTTTCTCTTGTGCTTGAGAAGAATATACCTGCCTAATTCACCCTGATTTTGTTGGTTTTGTTTTGTTTTGTTTTAACATAGCCATGGCTCCAAGATCCCTATTGCTATTTTTTCTTAAAAATACCACATTCGTGTTTTTTTCTTAAGGCTGTGGAATTTTCTTAAGTGAAAAACTCAGTAACTTCCAGCTTAATGAAAGAAGATATCAATGTGCCTTCTTAACACTCTTAACTCGTTCTCTGAGTTCTAAAATGTTCTGTTGTATCCCTTAAGACATCCATTTATCATCTCCCTTACTATAGAAAATAAATGTTCAGTTTGTGTGCTGCAGAATTATCCCAGATCTCTAATAGCAGATGAAGTTAAATTGCTCTTAATTTATTTAAACTGGAAAATGTCCATCTAAAAACAGACTTCAATCATGGGACCAATGAGGAACGTATCTGAAGATTCCTCCATCAGAAATAGCCAGCATAACACGGGAAATGGGAGCCTTTTTTGGACACCTAGTGAGGGCTCAAGGGCAGGTACTTTGACATTCTCTGATAAGTGAAAATGACTTAGCATTTATCTGGATTAGGAGTTTGACAAAGGGGAGAGATGAAGCAATGTGGCCCGAAATTATCTACAGGATAGGAATGAAGACCAGCTTTTTTTTTCTTTGAGTGCTTTTCATATGTTTCTCTTTCTATGTTTTTAATAAAATAAATAGGTTCCAACACTTGGGCTTGTTTATATTACTATGGCCCCATCATCAATCTACTCATATTTTAATGTCTCTTTTATTATCCGCAGGTTTATTCTTAATCACCAGCATTGCTTTCCATCACTGTGAATCTTAAAATTTTATCTGAGATCTTCTAACTTTCTTACAAAAAGATAGGAAGGGAAATTCTTAATCTTTTTCATCCGATTAAATACTGACAAAGTGGCATGTCTCTGAGGTTGAATATAAGGCAGGAACTGAGGTAGACGGGCTGTTCAGAGTCAGATCCTAGCTTTGTCACTTGCTAAAGGGCTCTGACGTTCGGACAGCAAGTTTTGAGCCTCAGTTTTGATATACTTCATGGAAATGTTAAAACCCACATAGAACTGTTAAGAGGAGTGGATGTAAAGTCTTAGTGCAATACCCCTTGGTTTTGTTTTGTTTTGTTTTGTTTTGTTTTGTTTTTTTGAGACGGAGTCTCACTCTGTTACCAGCTGGAGTGCCGTGGCGCAGTCTCTGCTCACTGCAACCTCTCCCTCCTGGGTTCAAGTGATTCTCCCATCTCAGCCTCCTGAGTAGCTGGGACTACAGGCACGTGCCACTACGCCCAGCTAATTTGTGTATTTTGTATTTTGTATTTTTAGTAGAGACAAGGTTTTACCATGTTGGCCAGGATGGTTTTGATCTCTTGATCTCGTGATCTGCCTGCCTCGGCCTCCCAAAGGCCTGGGATCACAGGCATGAGCCACTGTGCAGTTTTCATTGCTGTTTTTTGTTTCCTCATCCCTACTAAGGATCTGACACTCTAGAATTAGCAGAAATGTCAAGAGGGTGTGATGGAGCAGGCTAAGTGGGGAGTGTTCTTTTGCAGCTTTTAGTACTTTGATGACTTGGGATCTCATTTTACCGTAAAAGAAGGTCAATGTGTGTGTGTGTGTGTGTGTGTGTGTGTGTGTGTGTGTGTGTTGCAGGGGGCGGTAGGGATAGGCAAGAGAGAAAGAGAAGTGATCTTGAAACTTCTCTTAGTTTCTAGCTTCTAAATAGCCCTTGGTTTTTACATATACAGAAAAGCGTTGCAGTCCATGCTTTTTGGAGTCCATTTTGGTTGTGTCCATCTTTTCAAGGCCTTCTCTTTCTCTGTCCATCCCTCTTCAGTCTGCTCTTGCATCTCTTGTTTTCCTCATTATCCCTAGATGATCACATCCATACTCACAGCTTCAGTGCTCACACTTCTGCTCATGGCACCCAAATCTCTATTTCCAGCCCCTTCGAGCTTGAAGATTGGTAGTCAGATAGCTCTTTGGGCATGGCCTTTGAATGTCCAATAGGCTGTTCAAACTCAACGTTTAAAAATCTGACCACATGATTTTTACCCCCTCTCTCAGCTGCTACCCGGTTCTTCCTGGGTTCATTTTCTTTGTCAGTGGTGTCTTTATCTACTCCAAACCTCTAGCTTAATAACCTTGGAGTCATTCTGAACCTGATCTTTGAAATCAGCTTGGCTGTTACCTCCAGTTCTACATCAACTCTTATTTCTTTGTAGGAATGCTTATTGGGTGAAATTCAGTAGTAACAAGAGTGACAGAGACATGTGCGTGTCAAACACAGCTTTTCTTTCTTTTCTTTTCTTTTTTTTTTTTTTTTTTTTTTGGAGACAGAGTCTTGTTCTTTCACTCACGTTGGATTGCAGTGGCATGATCTCGGCTTGCTGCACTTCCACCTCCAGGGTTCAAGAGACTCTTCTGCCTCAGCCTCCCACATAGCTGCCACACCCAGCTAATGTTTTGTATTTTAGTAGAGACAGGGTTTCTCCTTGTTGCTCAGGCTGGTCTCGAACTCCTGAGCTCAGGCAATCGGCCCACCTCAGCCTCCCAAAGTGCTAGGATTACAGGCATGAGCCACTGCGCCTAGCCCAAACACAGCTTTTCTTACCTATCTTTTATTCTTGCCTAGTTTAGAACTTTCACCATCTCTCCTTCTTTACGACTGGAAAAATTGCCTTTTTAATTTCCTCCACCAGACTATTTCCAATTTCTCATCAAATTTAGCATTGATCTTGTTGTTGATTCCCTTATTAAAGTGAAATGTCTCTTTATTGTCTGTAAGATGTAGTTCAAATCCCTTAGCTTTCATACCCAACTCTTTACCCCTGGCTATAGTATATTTGCTAGCCTTATCTGCCAATGCTCTGTCCTCTACATACCTGTACTTTAATTGCTTCAAAGCCTGTGTCATTCTCCAGTACAACCAAATACTATACTGAGTTGCCTCGAGACCAGTCTCAGCTGAGTGTTTCATTGAAAACCAACAGAAATTGATTCCAAAATGCACTGTCTACAGTTTTGTGTTTTACTGAAGTTTTCTGGTAAAGAAAAATCCCAGCACTTTGGAAGGCCTAGGCGGATGGATCACTTGCAGTCAGGAGTTTGAGACCAGCCTGGCCAACATGATGAAACCCCGTCTCTACTAAAAATACAAAAATTAGCCGGGCGTGAGCACCACTGCCCTCCAGCTTGGGTGACAGAGCAAGACTCTGTCTTAAAAAAAAAAAAAAGAAGAAGAAGAAGAAGAAAGAAAAAGAAACCACTGCATAGCTCAGAGAAATATTTTCTCTCTAAAATCACAGCCTTCATTGCAGCTCAAGATCTTCCCAGCTTCTCCCTCTTCCTTTCCTTGACTCTGTCCCTACTGTCACCCTACTATCACTTCACCTACCCTCTTGGATCTCTCTTTCTGAATATCTTCCTTCCTTTATCTTGTGCAGTAATGTTGGCCTCTTTGTGCTTGTTCAATTCGGGAGTTATAGTTACAACCTTATCAACCAGTGGTATGGACAGGAGACAGGGAAATACTGGGTGGAAGAGGGCGGTTCCCCATCCAAGGCCATGCCCTCAAGCCTGGAGACCCATGGTCCTAAATGGGGACAGGCATGCCTGTTTTCACACCCAAAAAGTTGCCTTTTGGCCCACGATGCTCCCTGTCTTGCACCCACATAAACCCCAAACCCCAGGTTCCAGAAGCAGAGGAGCAGACAAGATGAGATAAGTAGATGAATGGGTGAATGATGTGGCAGAGAAAGAAGGAGCAATGTCTAAACACTGAGAGGAGTTCAGCTGGGGGTGATCAGAGTGGAATCGGCTGCTGGATGGCAAGGCTCCAGGGAAAGATCATTTTCCCACTCCATCCCTCCTTCAGGCTCCCCATCCATCCACTGACAGCCACCTCCACCACTTGATAAAACCCCCATATTCATCCTTCAAGTCTGTGACCCAATTCTTCCAGGATGCTGAACAAGAGCTTGAGATACAGCAAGCTGTCACACTGGCCCTCTGCCCTTGCAGAAGGGCAGAGAGTCCAATGAGCTGGTTAACACTCAAGCCATCTGTGGACGGCAGGGCTAAAAGGGCACACTGTAACACATACCCACTTGGGCTCCTGCATTCATCCATCTGTGTGCGCCCCCTTCCCTCAGGGGTTTGAGCAGTGGCAGTGACCGAAGAGACAAGCCACACCCCTGTCGCACGTCAGGTGAGGTGGATCAGGGAACTCTGCTGTTTCAACAGAGTCCATTATCTAAGCAGAAAAGTAAAACAAAAAAAGATGATAGAAGGCAAAGTCATTCAGTTCTTGACTTCTCTCTGTGTTGAGAGTTGATTCTAAGTGTGCAAGGATAATATGCAGGGGAACTTGGTAGGAGTCTATTGTAGTTATTCAGATGAGAGGGTGGTTGCTAAGTCCAGGGTAGTAGGAATTCAGATGGCAAAAATGGTCAGATTCTAAGTATATGTTGACGGTATTATGAAAACGATTTTAAGAAAGAGGAGTCAAGATGACTCTTGAATTGTTCGGCTTGAGCAACTGAAAAGGACTTTCTATTTACTGACTAAGGAAAGACTTCAGATGAAGTAAGTTTGAGAATATCAGCACCTTATTTTTGGGCATAATGAGTTAGAGATGTCTCCTCTACATCTAAGTAGACATTTGGGTATTTTGATTTGGAGCATGAGCAAGAAGTCTGAGCTGGAGGTGAAAACGTGGGGACCATTAGTACGTAGATGGTATTTAAAGCCATGTGACTGAGTGAAAAGATCATGGGAGTGAATGTAAATGGAAAAGGGAAGGGAACCAAAGACAGCCCCGACACCCTCCACCATTAACTGGTCAGTACACAAGGGAGAATCAGCAAAGGAGGCTGAGGAGCCCCCAGCAGGGTATGAGGAAACCCAAGAGAGTATGGTGCCTGGAAGCCAAGTCAAGTGATCGTAAGGTGTGGGTTAAGACAAAATAATTTCTGTAGAATGTGGGGAGAAGAGGCCTGCTTAAAATGGGTTTAAGAGAGAAGTGGGGAGAAACTAGAAACAATATAAACAGCCCTTTTAAGGAGTTTTGTAAGGGGATCAGAGAAGTGAGTAGGAAACAGGTCGGAGGAAGTGGGCTGGGAGGGAATTGTTGGTTTGTTTGTTGCCTCGTTGTTTTTAAGATGAAAATACCTCTGTGTGTTGGTGGGAATGATTCAGAAGAAGTAGTGTGGATCGATGAAATAGGGAAGAAATGGGAAAATCACTAGATCCATGTCTTTGAGCAGGTGAGAGGGTATAAGTTCTAATGCATAAGCACTGGCTTTATTAGTTCATCTGTTTTAACAGGATCAAGATTTATCTTTGTTTTCCTGAACTAGCACAATACTTTGTCCATGACGGATGTTCAATGAGTATATATTTAATTGTTTGCTCTTTCTTTGTTTCTTTCTTTATTTTTATTTTTATTTTTTTTGAGACGGAGTCTCGCTCTGTCGCCCAGGCTGGAGTGCTGTGGCACCATCTTGGCTCACTGCAAGCTCCACCTCCAAGATTCAAGCCGTTCTCCTGCCTCAGCCTCCCGAGTAGCTGCGACTACAGGTGCCCGCCACCACACCCAGCTAATTTTTTGTATTTTTAATAGAGACTAGTTTTCACCGTGTTAGTCAGGATGGTCTCGATCTCCTGACCTCATGATCTGCCTGCCTCGGCCTCCCAAAGTGCTGGGATTACAGGCGTGAGCCACTGCACCCACCAGTTTGCTCTTTCATTAATGTAGAGAAGAAAGGAAAGCATGCTCTCTTCCATTCCTTCTCTCTTCTATCTGGACCATGTTGTGCTATATAGCTCATTCCAGTTGTTCACTGAACAGTCTCATAAGAAGAGCAAAAAGACTGCAGTATGGGGAATTGGGGGAGCAAAGAGAGAGGGAAGAGAGAAGAGAGAGGAGAGGAAGAAAGAGAAGAGGGAGATCAAGAAGAAAGAGAGCAAGAGGATGGGGGCAGCAAGGGGGGGAGCACGAGGAGTGGGGGAGCAAGAGGAGATGGGGACAAAAGGAGGTGGGGAGAGAGGGGAGAGAGCGAAAGATGCAGGGAGAGGTGAAGAGAGAGGAGAGGGAGAGTTGAGGGAGAAAGAAATAGAGAGGAGGCCACGCACGGTGGCTCATGCCTATAATCCCACCGCTTTGGGAGGCCGAGGTGGGTGGATCACTGGAGGTCAGGAGTTAGAGACCAGCCTGGCCAACATAGTGAAACCCCATCTATACTAAACATATAAAAATTAGCCAGGCATGGTGGCACACTCCTGTACTCTCAGCCACTCAGGAGGCTGAGGCAGGAGAATCAGTTGAACCCAGGAAGCAGAGGTTGCAGTGAGCCAAGATCTTGCTACACTGCACTCCAGCCTGGGCAACAGAGCAAGACTCCATCTCAAAAAAAAAAAAAAAAAAAAAAAAAAACAGGAAAGAAATAGAGGAAAGTTTATTTTCCTTGTATAACACAACCTGCAAAACTTCATAAAACTTTATGATTCAATTATTTGACAAATGGAAGCCAAGCAGTTAGGGAAATGCTGTGTTCCCTGTCCCTCCCTGATATTATGTCGCCCGGCAGTGTTCGGGGGGTAACCTCATCGTGAATCAACCAAGTCCCCTCTCCCCTGCAGCTTCATCTCTAGTAAAGAGGGACTGTTTGACTGTTTTCCTGCCCACTTTCCCTTCCGCTATTCGGATGCAACGGTGTTTTGACCTCTTTGGCTCTGTCCTGATGTACCCAACTGTCTCTCTACCTATAAACAGGGAGGCTGATTTATTCTGTGGGACAAATTTTATTTTTCTTATATGACTTTAATGTACGTTGTGTTGCTAAATCAGTTCTCTTTCTGTCCCATGTCTACATGGCCTGTTCTAAACACTGGTGAGAACTGACCCAGTATAGACAGGCACTCCAACTTCCCCTTCCTGACATTTTCTAGTAATTTAATAGTTGAATATCTTCTTGGGAGGCTGAGGCAGGAGAATGGCATGAACCCAGGAGGCAGAGCTTGCAACCGTCTCAAAATAATAATAATTAATAATAATAATTCTCTTCATTATCTATTGTTTTTCTGACCTAAATCTCTACTAATGAAGCAAATCAAACCATCCCTAAACTACCTAAAGAATAATTAAGTAATAATTGGGTGTGTCTCACTCATCACAAATGTGTTTGCTTTTCGAAGTCTATGGGTCCCCTAATGAGTGGCACACGCTGGAAATCTGATTGCTCTGGGAAAATCTGTGATACCCCCACCCCTCCATCTCAGGAATACAGGGTGAGCAGTGATATTCCAGAGAAGAGCTGATCTGGGACTATTTTAAGGTCTCCCTAAGTCAGGACCTCTGAGACCAACAGTAAGCCCAGAGAGCACAAGCTGATGCCAAATTTCTATGGATCTGGAACTTTCTATTCCATACTTAAAAGTTACAGAATCTTGACATAGCCTTACCTAATTTTCGCAATGAAGTTTGCACATCCTATACTTTAGTCTCTGGACTTTCAATCAAAAACTGAGGTTCTCTGTTGAATGAGAGATGTGAGTATAACAGATGGTGGTCAGAGCCCCTGCTGAAGGAGTAGATGGTGGCAGTGTGTCCCGTGGGGCCCTCCTGTGTCTGTGCTAGACACCTGACACAAGAGCAATCATTTCATAGGTTGTTCAGTGATTTATGATGTAGTCTAGTAGAAAAGGACAAGCTGAGCCAATCCCCATTTTACTCTTGTGTTTTAACTGGGAAACATTGAAAGAATTATACAGTTGCTAATAGGAGAGAATCTGACTTTTCATCATGAAAGCAAGATCATAGGCCATGGGGACTGAGTTCACCAGAAAGCAGAAAATTTGGGTAATCATCAGACATCAGTTTGTAGGCAGAAAGAGAAGCCTTACTGTGGAAATGAAAGGATTAATTGGCAACAAAGGGCAGACCCAGGTATCCAGGGCCATAAGTTTACACAATTCTAAGGGTCTTGTATAAGAAAAAGGGTATACAATTACAAATATAAAATGGCTGGAGGCTCTCCCAGATTCTTGTTAAAGATCCAAGCCAGTCATAGGTCTGAAGCTTAGGCTTTCTTGGGTTCACAGAATACCCATCTCTGCTAATCACTAAGCAGGGTTGATGTCTGATGGTGTTCAGGTCTTTCTTTTTCCAGTTGGTGTCCTCAAATAAACACCATTTAACTTTTGTGAGGTGTTTTTTGCAACAGAAAGCTTGATTAAAAGATGTAATGTGTGCATTAACTGCATTGACAAATTAGTAGATTTATTTATTTGTCTGATCATTGTGGCAACAGAAAAAATACTGAATCCATTCATGACAAATTATCTAGGTTTTCTCTCCCATTAGCAAGGTACATACATCAAGTCTTCATTATTAGAATACCGTACCTTCTAAGCTGTTGTGGTTTTGTGGTTACATTCTGAGGTTTCAAGCTGCTTCTTATACATCATTTGTTCTATTAGAACCTAAGTCTCCTGTAGTATTGGAAAGGGGCCTGGAGAGAAAAATATTTTTAAAAGGTATTAGTAAGAATGCATTTTCTTTGAACTTTTTGCATATATGAGACTCAGTTTAATAATTCCAATTTGTAACTTTTTTTTTTTTTTTTTGAGATGGGAGTCTTGCTCTGTCACCCAGGCTGGAGGGCAGTTGCATAATCTTGGCTCACTGTAACCTCCTGGGTTCAAGCGGTTCTCCTGCCTCAGTCTTCCAAGTAGCTGGAATTACAGGCACCTGCCACCACGTCTGGCTAATTTTTTGTATTTTTAGTAGAGATGGGGTTTCACCATGTTGGCCAGGCTGGTCTCAAACTCCTGACCTCCAGTGATCTACCCACCCTAGCCTCCCAAAGTGCTGGGATTACAGGAGTGAGCCACTGCTTCCTGGCTGTAACTTTTTAATGTAGTCAAATTTATCAAATTTTCTTTATGGTTAACATATAGAGGTCCTTTTAATATAATTTTACCCACCTTAAAGTCATAAAGATATTTTCCTATTTTAGTCTAAAAGTTTTATTGTTTAACCTTTTATATTTATAGTCTATCAAGGATTGTATTATGGTGTGAGAGTAGGAATCAAGATTAATTTTTTTCCATATTTATTTTTTCACGCCTATCCCATTAACCCAAACCATTTATTTAAAAGTTGAGGACTTTTCCCACTCAACGTTGTCAGAAAATCAGATAATCATGCAAATGTGAGTGCTGCAGTCTCATTGCATCTCTCCTAAACTCGTGTTGAAACCTCATCCCAATCATAGTAATATTAAGAGGCAGGCCTTTGAGAAGTGGTTAAGTTATGAGGGCTCCACACTCATAAATGGGATTAGTGCCCTTAGAAGAGAATGGAAATTTCTGGCCCTCTCTGCCCTTTCACCATGTGAGAACACACAGAACCACTATCTATAAGGAGCAGGCCTTCCCCAGACACCAAATCTGCTGATGCCTTGATCTTGGGACTTCCTGACCCCTAGAACTGTGAGAAATAAATTTCTGTCATTTATAAATTACTCAGTATAAGGTATTTTTCTAGCATCTCTAATGGACTAAGACAGTGAGGTCTCTGTTTCTGTACTCCATTTTTTCCATTGTTTTATTTGTCTATTTTTGGGCCAGTACCAAAATTGAAAATATCTTTGTCAAATGGCATATTAAGATAATGAAAAGGTCAGCCACTGGACGAGGGGAAGATATTTGCAAAACATATGAGACAAAGCACTAGTATTCAGAACATATACAGAATTCTCACAAATAAATGAGAAAAACCACCACCACCACCAGAGAAACCAATAGAAACACAGGCCAAGACACTTGAACAGGCACTTCTTAAAAAAGGGTATTCAAATGCCCAATAGACATGAAAAGGCACTCATCTTCATTAGTTATCAGCAAGATGCAAATTAAAACCATAATGTGCTTCCACCACCGTTGAGAGAGAATTCTCCATACGTCTTTCATGCTTCTGCATGTCTTACAAGACATGCTTTGAGAGTCTGTTTTTTGTTGTAGATTGCCTTCTCAAAAACATCTGTATCATGGACAACCTTAGACAACGAAAATGGTGTCTCTGTGTGGAGCAAGCAGGCATGCTTAGCTTACTGCCCACTCTAAAAGATTCAGGTTCAGTAAACTCAGGATTTCTCACATGTAACACAACCCACTGCTCCTGCAGGTGCCATCTGGCTGTCTTTGCTTTGCCTTGTGGTCCCTGGGGCTTGGGGAGCCAGTGCAGAAGTGCTGGCACTCTAGTTACTGTTATTGCTGTGAAGTAATCAGCTATCCTTCATCTCTGACCCAAGAATATCAAGTCTTCTTCCAGGCTTCATAAACTTGTGGTAAGTTAATTAGCCTGATTTTAGTATAAAAATCTCAGACCCTTTTTAGTTCTTGACAATGTACATCCTGCACAATGGCTAGAAATAAAAAGACTGGTGATACCAAGTGTTGGAAAGGATGTGAAGCAGTAAGAACTCTCCCTGTTTTGGGGACTATAACTAGGCACATTCACTTTGGAAAACTGTTTTACAGTATCCACGAAAGCCGAACGTCATACTTAATAACTAAATAAATTGCTCTCATGGGCTTATGTCCACAGAAATGTATCCGTATGTTTACCAAAAAACAAGAATGGTCATAGGCATACTCTTCACAATTGTCCCAAATGCAAAATAACCCAAATATTCATTGACATAGAGTGGGCAGATAAATTGTCACATCTTCACACTATGGAGTATTATACAGAAATTAGAGTGAACAAACTGCAACTACACACAACAAAGGAAAATTAAATACACATGTGGATTGAACATCCATTTTAGCAAAGCATTGTGCTAGTTCAGGCAAACAAAGATAAATCTTGATCCTGTTAAGGTAGATGAACTAATAAAGCCAGTGCTTATGTGTTAGACCTTATACCTTCTTCCTGTTCAAAGACATTGATCAGGAATTTTTCCATTTCTCTCATATTTTATACACACCACCATTCTTTCTGAATCATACCCATCAGTACACAACAATCTGGATGAATCTTCCCAACATAACATTGAGTGAAAGGAACCATATGCCAAAGACTACCTACTATGGTATATTCCAAAATAGAAAAGCTAAGAGCGTTAAAAGTTATGACAGTGGTTTTCTCTGATGGTGGTTAGTGATAAGCAGGGAGACTGACAGAGTTTTGTAAGGTGCTAATAAAGTTTTATTTCTTAATAAGTACTGGTTATACATGTGTGTGTTAGTTATGTGAAAATGCATCGAGCTATACACACATAATTTGTATATTTTCCCATGCATATGCTGTTTTTCAATTAAAACACTAAAAACGCATAACTCTGAGGCCCGTTGGCATACTGTGTTATGTCAAGATAGTAATTCTGTCTAATAGTTACCTCATTCACAACTCAGCTTAATTTAGAGTCCCAATGGGTTTGGAGGACTTGGTTTAAAAATTCCATAAAGAAAACAACCATAATACTAAGATCACTTTAAAATGAAATGCTTTTATGTTTAAATGTTTTTTTGTGTGTACAATCCACAATTTCTATTTGAAATGTTGAAATATGTTATAGAATGAATGATACTGATGTAGGTTATATTCATTAAGATAAAAAATAAGACATTTACTTAAGTCAAGGTTGCCTAGAGCTTAAAAAAAATCCAGACGTAACTTTAGTAATAATGACTAAAATCATACTGTTAGTAAGTAACCTTTGCTGAGGGCTCTCTATTTCAAAGCAACCTTAATCTTTGATGGGATTGTTCCATTTAATCTTCACAACAGCCGCATGGAGTTTTATCATCTTTGAACCCCATAAACATTCCTTACTCAAGCATTATACTTGAACCATTTTATTACTTTAAGGAACTTTACAACCTACATCATCTACATCATCAACTGCCAATGTATTGAAATAAATGTAGCAAAGGTCATTTGTGAAAAAACAGCCCATCATGGTAAGAAGAATTTAAAGAATAATTTTCAAGTGAAAAATTATTGAAAATTGCCATTATTCCCTCAAAACCCCCTGTTCTGCAAGACTTCAAAAAAAGATTAATTCCCCATAATACTTGCTTGTTTGTGTTCTGATTCATTTGCAATTTAATACTATGTTTAATGAGGGTAGCAACACAAAGTTAACACAAGCTTGTCGAAGTGGGCAGTACAGAATTATCTATAACACGTTTTAAACAATGTCATATTCATTTACTCTGTTTAAAAATCCTTATTTTTTGAGGCTACAATGTATTCTTACATTGTATAATACCAAGGAAATGGGAATAATTAAATTTCTCATAATGCTGTTTTTGATGTGCTACTTTTAAAGCTTTCTGCTGTTGGCTCATGGTGGGGCCAGGGTAGGGGAAATTTTTCACGTGTATTTCTAATCCTTATTTTTGGCAAGATATAGAACTATTTTTGAGAAGATTTTAAAATAAAAGTTAAATGATTTTGTTCATTTAAATGAGCAAATTATGTAAAAAGAGTAGCTTTGGGATAATTTTCACTAGATTACCTATTAAGTTATAAGATGGGTAATTTACCTGAGATAATAATATGAATTTTTATAAAGTTTGCACTGGGCAGAGTGACTCATGCCTATAATCCCAACACTTTGGGAGGCTGAGGCGGGTGGATCGCTTGAGCCCAGGAGTTCAAGACCTGCCTAGGCAACATAGTGAGACCTCATCTTTACAAAAAATAAAAAATTAGACAGGCGTGGTGACAAGCATCTGTAGTCCCAGCTACTTGGGAGGCTGAGGCAGGAGGATTAATTGAGCCCTGGAAGGTTGAGGCTGCAGTGAGCTGAGATCATGCCACTGCACCCCAGCCTGGGCGACAGAACGAGATGAGATCCTGTCAAAAAAAAAAAAAAAGTTTGCTTCCAAATTGATAAGAGATGCCCAAAATAGGATTAAATAATCTTAAAAATTGTCCTTGAAAAACTAAAGGATTTCTATAGTTGTACAAGTATTGTTCCTGTATCTTCTTATGAGGGCACTAATCTCATTATGAGGGCTCCACCCTCATGACCTAATCGTCTCCCAAAGGCCCCACCTCTTAATGTCATCACATTGGGAATTAGAATTTCAACATATTAATTTTAGGGAGATACATTCAGTCCATAACAATTTATTTTAAGGACTTTTACTCCTGAACCAAACACGTGTACATACAAGGTAGCAACAGAAAGATTTCTGAAGTCTTCGGGGACCCCACCAAATGTCCTCCATAAGGTTCAATTTGTTCTTTTTTGCTAGAATTTTTGATCACTTGTTACCTTCGCTTTTACTATCACAAAAAATATAATAATGAGTAGTTCTAAAGTCCTACATTAGTAACACATTTAAATTATATGCATCTATACATATACAAGCCATCCTCTTGTAAAATTCCCTGAAAAACAGAATATGATTAATAGTGGTTTGGCTGTGTCCCCACCCAAATCTCATCTGGAGTAGTTCCTATAATCCCCATGTGTTTGGGAGGGACCTGGTGGGAGGTAATTTAGTCATGGGAGTGGTTACCCTGATGCTGTTCTTGTGATAGTGAGTGAGTTCTCATGAGATCTGATGGTTTTATAAGGGGATTTTCCCCCTTTTGCTCGGCACTTCTCCTTGCTGCTGCCATGTAAAGAAGGGCTTGTATGCTTCCCCTTCTGCCATGATTGTAAGTTTCCTGAGACCTCCCCAGCCATGAAAAACTGAGTCAATTAAAACTTTTTTTTTATATATTACCCAGTCTCAGGTATGTCTTTATTAGCAGCGTAAGAATGGACTAATAGAAGGATTTATTAAGGCAATGAGGAAAATAAAATTGACTTGCTAAGACATTTTTAAGTCAGCGTTCCCCCATCAGATTCACATTTATTAAGTTAAAGCATGAACACTTAGATATGCAAAGTGACTCTGTGTAGAGTTTGCTTTTGTAAATTGAGGAAAAAGCCAAAGACTTTTTCTTTATGGATAATTTGAAGAATGAGCTCATTCATTCATATACAAACATATGCATATATATGCATATAGATATGTAAATATATAGATATATATCACTACTATATGGCAGATATAATGCTAGAAAAAAACAGAGAGGAAATTGAGTTAAGTTTCTAAAGTGAGAGAACACAGGAGTTTGGGGAGAAATGGTAATGGCAAGAAGAACTTCCACTAGGGGCAAGACAGGCTGAGACTCCCAGCAGGCAGAACTTGTTAGAAAGTTTTCTACATATCAGAGACTTGTCAAGACTTGATCAGACTTATCAGCACAAGCAGTGTTTTGTTGTTGTTGTTGTTTTGAACAAATCTGCTGTCAGTGTTCAGATGTGGATAAAGAGGCCTCCAGGCCACCACACTACAGAGATTTCCAGATGTAAAGTGAGAAATCCAGATTTTATGTTGTTGACTAGGATGATGACAGTGAGAAGAGAAAAAAATAGAATTTCTTGGAAAGATATATGTAAGGGAAAATTAATAGAATTTCCTATCTGATTGGATGGAGAGACAGCAGAGAAGAATGACAGCATGGAAGATTCCAGCCAAAGGGATTAAGAGAACAGTATTTCTAAAACGGACAAGGAAGTCAGACATTTGGTGACAAGGTTTCATTTTAGATCTATTCAGGGCTTTCTCTTTTGGTGTGTTTTGTTTAAATGGCACTAATGTCAGAGTTGAATTTGTTCGACAGAAAGAAGATACAAATGCAATATTTTATGACCTGAATATAGGGCTCCTGTGATAATATCTTAATCAAAATGAATATTTTCTTTTATATATATATTTTTATTATACTTTAAGTTCTAGGGTACATGTGCACAACGTACAGGTTTGTTACATGTGTATACATGTGCCATGTTGGTGTGTTGCACCCATTAACTTGTCATTTAACATTAGGTATATCTCCTAATGCTATCCCTCCCCCCTTCCCCCACCCCACAACAGGCCGCGGTGTGTGATGTTCCCCTTCCTGTGTCCACATGTTCTCATTGTTCAATTCCCACCTATGAGTGAGAACATGCGGTGTTTGGTTTTTCGTCCTTGCAATAGGTTGCTGAGAATGACGATTTCCAATTTCATCCATGTCCCTACAAAGGACATGAACTCATCATTTTTTATGGCTGCATAGTATTCCATGGTGTATATGTGCCACACAAAATGAGTATTTTCTATTTGTAATTATTTGGTATCTGCCTCTGTATATTACATGTGGGAAAAAATTGTTAAGAATATTAGCCTTCTACTTTTTTTTTTTTTCTGAGACACAGTCTTGCTCTTTGCTCAGGCTGGAGTGCAGTGGCACAATCATAGCTCGCTGCAGCCTCATCCTTTTGGGCTCAAGTGATCCTCCTGCCTCAGACTTCCCAGTAGCTGGGACCACAGGTGCATGCCACCACAGCTGGCTAATTTTTAAAAAAAAATTTTGTAGAGACAGAGTCTCACTATGTTGCCCAGATTGGTCTCAAATTCCTAGGCTCAAGGGATCCTCCTGCCTCAGCCTCCCAAAGTGCTTGGATTACATGGTACTGGCTTTTAGCCTTCTGCTTTTTATGAATGTCTTTTTTCCCACTCTCATCCCTCAGGATTGTGTATGTGTTGTGTGCAGTGTGTGTGTTGTGTGTAGTGTGTGTGTTGTGTGCAGTATGTGTGTTGTGTAGTGTGTGTGTTGTGTAGTTTGTAAGGTGCATGTGTTTTCTGGTGTGTAGTTGGGTTTTATAATGTGTGTGGTGTGTGTAGTGTATAAAGTATGTGTGTTGTGTATGGTGTATGAGGTATGTGTGTTATGTGTGGCATCTGTGAGTTCTGTGAATGTGAGGTGTGTGAGGCATGTGTCCTGTATATGGTGTGTGTGTGTGTGTGTGTGTGTGTGTGTGTGGTGTGTGGTTGGGGTATGTTGTGTAGTGTGTGAGGTACATGTGTTGCATGTGGTGTGTGTGAGGTGTGTGTGTGTTGTTTGTGAAGCAGGTGTGTATGGTGTGTGTGCTGTGTAGTTGGGGTGTGTTGTGTGTAGTGTGCAAGCTATATACATGGTGTGAGGTGTGTGTGTAAGGTGTGTGTAGTGTGTGAGTTACGTGTGTTGCATGTGTGTGTGAGGTGTGTGTGTTGTTTGTGTGTGAGGCAGGTGTGTATGGTGTGTGTAGTGTGTGGTTGGGGTGTGTTGTGTGTAGTGTGCAAGCTATATACATTGTATGAGGTGTGTGTAAGGTGTCTGTGGTGTGTGAGGTATCTGTGTTGTGTGTGTTTATGTGTGTGGTGTGTGAAGCTTGTGTGTTATTTGGACAGCCACGTTCATCGCTGGGTGCCAAGGAGGCAGTATCTTTATCCTGCACATCCTAGGCAAATAGGCCCCAGGGCCACTGTATAAACATCCCACATTTGAAGGAGTCACAGCTCCCAGCCAGTTTTTCAGATCAGACATTGAAGGAAATAATGATGGCAGAACTGTTACCATGAGCTTTTCAACTGTGAAGTTCTTTCCCCTCTACTACTCTGGTCTCGTTACTGCTCCCACATATAAGTGAAATCAACCAAACCTTAGAGAATATCATTTCTTCTCCCTTCCAGTAGGAAAGCAAAGAAAAAGAATGATGATTATCTAAGTCCGGTTACCATTTGTTAAACTCCTTGTTTATTAATACACTTAATCCCCACAACTTCAAGAAGAAGAGATTATTTTTCCTAATTTACAGGTAAGAAGCCTGATCTATCTTCAGAGGGGCATTCCTGCAAAGCCACATGGAGTGGGGTGCTATTTGTGGGTATCCAAACCTAGGCCATAGCCAGTGCCCTGAAGCATTGAGCCACTTTGAACACTGTGGTTTTATTCATATGTGAGGGCTTGGACTACCTGGCCTGTTTAAAGCAGGCTTATGACGTTAATTAAATAACTGCCTTGATTCAACAAGGTTTCAGCAGACTGTTCCCTGTCCTTCATCTCCTACCCTCTTGCTCTCTCTCCTTTCTTTCCCTCCCTCCCTTCCTTCCTCTCTCCCTCCCTACCTCCTTTCTTCTTTCCTTCCTTCTTCTCTTTCAAAACATTCTTTTGGTTCATAGGTTAAAATTCAACTACAATGCTAGATGATGACAAAATGCTGCCATTTTGAATTCCTGTTTCTTTATCCATTTTTAAATTAAATTACTTCAAGACAGATCTCTAATATCAATAGCAGAAACGATTACACTCCAGTCAATACATATACATACATAGATATATAAACACACATATATACATTTCTTATCAATATTTGTGGCCAATCATCTGTTTAGCCTTGGGCAAGATTTCTTATCTTGCTGAGCATCTGTACAGTGGGGATAATAATGTGGCTCACCTCACAGACGTATTGTAAGGATTAAATTAAATAATCTGCAAAGCAGTTGCACAGTGCCTGGTACATAGTGAGCACTTAGTACATGTAAAACATTCAAATTGTGCATACATTTCATTGAAATATGTTTCTGCTGTTTCGTGTTTAATTTGTGTACTTGTTTTTGTCAACTATGATTTCTTAGTGAGGCAGGAGACTGGCAGGGCGTATTTCCCGGTCCCTACCAGATGAAGTGAAGAAGCCACTAGAAACCAGCAGGAACCAGCAGATGGCAAGGAAAGTGATCCCTAGCTACCCTCAATGCTTATTAGCCTAGAACACTCCCGCCAGTGCCATGACAGTTCACAAATGTCATGGCAACAACCTGGAAGTTACCACCCTTTCCATAGCAATAACCCAGAAGGGATCACCCCTTTTCTAGAAAGTGCTAAATAACCCACCCCTCCATTTGCATTAACCCACTCCTTAATTTGCATGTAATTGAAAGGGAATATAAGTGGTTATAAATACAGTTGCCAACAGCCCATACTGGGTGCACTACCTTTGAGTTAGCCCTGCTCCATAAGGAATGGTACTGTTCGATAAAAGGCTGCTGTCTAACACCACCGGCTCATCCTTGAATTCTCTCCTGGGCAAAGCCAAGAATCCTCTTGGGCTATGCCTCGATTTTGGGGCTCATCTGTCCTGCATTATCAGTATTCCAACATGATCTTTATCTCTATCATTGAGGAATCCTTCGCTGCAGTTTCAAGTAAACATAACCCTTGCTCAAACTGTTCTGTAATGCTAACATGTGTGATCAAAGGCACACTTCTGTGTTCTAGTCTAGAGGCGGGCTGTGTTTACCATATTCACTTACATTTACCAAACCCTTTGGGATTTTTCAGGACAAAAGAAAAGCATTTTCTATATTACTATTGCCATCTGGCATTTTGTGTCTGTTTTATTTCTATGGCTTCAGTGACAACAGTATATCACTCCTCCCAAAGTCCTTCATGTGCAGTGTGAAATCTAGTTGCTGAATATTATTAGGCTACATTAATTTGTAGAGTCCTTTGGGCCACTTGGATTTAATGTACTATATCAGCAGAAAATACCATTATTAGCACTCTAATTAAAGACATTTTATGGTGCCTTCAAGTATGATTGAGACATTTTCCTTAAGTATGCAATTCAGAGAGCTAGTAATCCTGGCATCTGGATGGCTTATAAGAAGAACATAAAATACTTCTAAATGTGTGATGTCTTTACTCCTTATATTCTGTAGTAAGAGATTAGGCTCAAGGAAATATTCTTCTATATTCCCAAATACATCAGCACACGTTATTATTGAACATGATAATACAGGTTTTAGATTCTCTCTGATACTTTCTTTGGAATACGATCTAAAAATATTGAATGATCTGGGAATCTATTTTCAGAAACTATTTCCTTTGAAGAAGGCATCTCCAAACAAATGGTAACGGAAAGAGTGGTTCGTTGGCTTTTAACTATTCTTCTTAAAAACATAGGATTTCAGAGCTGACAGGAACCTTGAAAAGTAATAAAAATTTACTCTAATTTCCTCATTTGACAGTGAAGGACATTAAGGTTAAGCGGCAAAGGCCATTTGTGTTTAAATCTAATGAGCCACAGCGGCAAGCTGTCATCTTAAAAACACTATCTAGATTACCATGGGAAACTGCCTATTGTGTTTTGTGATTTAGACATGTCACTTTTAAACTTTCAATGCCTAAAACCCTCATCTAACTGGAAACATTTTTCCACATGCTTAGAAAAAGGCAGAAAACAGGGGAGGTGGGAGAATCAATTCAGTACATCTGTTTACAATAACAGTACATAAAATCACCTACAGCCTGGCTAGTTTTACCATAATCATTGTTCATAGTGATGATACTTCCTGGGACTTCAAAGTCAGAAAATACTTAACTATTTTGAAAGATTTTTCAATGTCTCCTCAGTTTTCCTCTGAATTCAATAAATAAAAGTATTACATCCCCTGAGAACTCTGACTGATAGAGTTTTCTGACAATGGCTTTTTATTTTCAACATTTCATGCTTTAATTCTGATATACTTTAAAGAAGATGTAACAGGTAAAATATATAGCCAGAGTTACCCACTAAAGTCGGATTGGTAATTTTAACTTAACTATTTTTACTTTTGTTAAGTCATCACAAATAATTTTTTTGTGTTAAATTATAAACATAGGCCACATAAACAAAGGCCACATGCTTAGTACAAATTTTGTCCTGGCATCTAGAATAGGTTTTATGTCACCTGGGCCAGACCCCTTACTGTAGAGCTAGGATGCTGAAAGCCTTACCCATGTGGTCTCAGCTGGTAAGGGTGAGGACTGAGAAGAAAATTAGGCCAAATTAGTCTCCAGATTAGCACTTGCAAAAATTGGTCAAGACAGCTTAATCATTTCAACTTTCTATTTTCCCCAAATTATTTTCTGAAAAATTACCTACTTTACTAATTGTCCACTTTAAATCTGTGATAGTTCTAAGAATGATATACTGAAAGCTGTATTCAGTGAGCCAGAGTTCTATATAACAGCCAAATGCTTTTTTCTGGCCTATCTGGAATATTCTATAACTCAACTATTGTGGGGAGACTTAGAAATTTCAATTTTATTAACTTTTCTATGACCAAGAATAAAAAAAAAAGGCTAGATTTGTATGGCCTAATTTGGTGAGACAAATGAAAGCAAAACACTACTAACTTAGCTAATAATTTGGGAAAGCCCAGTTCTACAATTGCAAATGTGTCTTGCTTTGAGATGCATAGGGCAGTTTCTCTCCCTTCCCAAATTATCAGGATGCTAAATGAACAATTATTTATAAATTACATGTATTTATTTTTTATCACTTGTAGGTAGTTCTGACAGAAAACTGGATCTGCACAGTAATGAAAGCATTTATCCTACAAAACACTTTATGTCATATTAAACAGAAAAATAATTGTTCCGAATAATCAAGAAGGTATTATTAAAGTAGGCTTCTGTCCTTTTCCAAAAATATGAAGGTTGTTATATGAACACTGTCATGGACCTATTTCCATGAGTTTACATATTTCTAGGTTATAGGAATAATAATAACATGATCTAGGCTACCCATACTATAAACTAAGATTTAAATTATAAAGATAATAGGTTTAAATTGCTTCAGAATGCAGATGAATGGTCTTATTATAATAGGGCTGACCTTGAAGCAGCTATAATATTTAAAATAATTAAACTAGAAATGGAAAGGAATTTCCTCAGTACGATAAGAAGCATTTATGAAAACCCATAGCTAACAGCATACTCAATGGTGAAAGACTGAAAGCTTTTGCATTAAGATCAGAAAAAAGACAAAGATGCCCACTCTCGCCACTTCTATTCAACATTATATTTGAGTCTAAGCCAGAGCAGTTTGGCAAGAAAAAGAAATATGAAGCATCCAAATCAGGAAAGAAGAGCAAAGTTATCTGTTTGCCAATAACATGATCATATATATAAAAACTCCTGAAGAATCTGTAAACTAATGGAGCTAATAAAAAATTCAGCAAAGTTGCAGGATACAATGTCAACATACAAGAATCAGTTGTATTGTTATACTCTAGCAGTAAGTACTCTGAAAATGATACTAAGGAAAAAATCATGTACGGTAGAATATTATAAAAATAAATACTTGATAAATTTAACCACAGAGGTGTATAATACTTGAACAATGAAAAATACCAAATATTGCTAAATGAAATTAAGACCTAAATAAATGGAAAGCTATCCGATGTTCATGGACTGGAACACTCAATGTCATTAAGATGTCAATGTTTCCCAAAGCCATCTACAAATTAAATGCAATCCCTATCAAGATCTCAACAGCATTTTTTCAGAAATGGAAAACCTGATCCTAAAATTCATATGGAATTGGAAGGGAGCCCAAATCGCCAAAACAACATTGAAAAAGAATAACAAAGTTAGACAAGTCACACTTTCCAATGTATCAAAATGGAGTTTCTGTTTGGAGTGATGAAAACGTTTCAGAACCAGGTAGAGGTGATGGTTATGTAACACTGAAGGTACTGAGTGCCTCTGAATTGTATACTTTAAAATGCACACTTTAAATTTTTTTGCTATGTAAATTTTACATCAATAAAAAAGTTAAACTATCAAGTTATTTGCTAGCCTAAAATAAAAAACAGAGGTTCACAAATATGTCATTAAATACTGTAGGAATTGCCAGAAAATTTTTGTTCTAAATATGTCTTAGAGATTTGGAAAATGGTGAACATTTGTTCCCATATCATCTTATTAAAACGAAAACCTTAGGCCATGTAAATAAAGACTCATCCAGTAAAAAGTGCTAGAACTACAGTAACTAAAATTAAAAACATAACAAAAAAATTAAGAATGTTACCCTGACAGCTTGAGTGGCATTTTACTGTGGATCTGCTTGCCAATGAATATGGTGGGAACAGCTAAAAATAGACATGAGGAAGGAATCATAACAAATGCTAGGGATACATCTGTAATACGATTGAAGTTGAATTATAAAAATAAGCTCCTTTCATGGTTGACACTAGTATTTATTCGTTTCCTATTGAAATAGGGGTTGATGTTTTTCTTAATTTTATAAGAATTTTACTGGTTATTAACTGAATGTTTGGAGACAAAATGTGTCTTTTCTGAGTCTCAGGTTCCTTAACTGTAAGGTGATGATAATAACTCCAAGCATATGAGGAAGATAGCATGAGATTATTTATATACACCTTACTGCATAACACAGAGTAAACAATTATTGAACATTAGTTCTCCCATTTAAAGAAAAAATCTCTATCATAAAGCCATCTCAGCGAGGTTTTTGCTTAATACTTTTACCATGTTTTAGGTTTTTGAAAGGCAGGGGTAAGAGGAGGACTTATCAGAAAAATGGATCTTCCTAAAGAAGAGTACCATGGGGTTTGAAGATAAACATGAGCCTTTTTCCATGCTTTACGGAATGGGCTAATGACTGTACTCCATACAAAATTCTTTATATAGTTAAAGATGATCATAAAGGGTCATCTCTAAATCACCCCATTCCTATTACTCTTTCTCATAGATACAATTTCCTAATTGCTAATTATCTGAGAAGATACACAACTAAAATTGGGAATGCGAAGTTCTGTATTTTCTCTGTACCTAGCTCATTTGAGGCTTTATGTCGCAACTTGGTCTCCTGTTGTTTGAAAAAAAAAAAAAAAAAATGGAAAGACTCAGTTGTCTTCCAGGAGCACTGTGAGAATTGGTGGTTTTTCAGTAGGTTGAAACTGAGGTTTATAAAGAGATTAAAGACATACTACAAACTGATCATTCTGAAATTATTTTGTTAAAGTTAATGAAGTTAGAATGCATGTTTTAAAATCAGGTGGGTAAATTGTTGACAATTATTAAAATTGAGATCGTGAATTCCAAAGGAATGTAAAGATACTCATTTTAAATGCCTGTAATTGTGAATGTTTTGAGTTAATTTTTATATGTTATACATGCAGTTTCAAATTATTTGACAGCAATTTAAATTGCTTAAAAACACAGTTGGTAAGAGAAACTAAGACTACAGGTTACTTTGCAGGTATTGAATTTTGATGCAATAATAACTCCTTATCTTTTTTCTCAGATAATAAATATCTGTCTATGGTGCTTTTCACCCATAAAAATGATGTACTTGGTTAGGTGCAGTGGCTCACACCTGTAATCCCAGCACTTTGGGAGGCTGAGGTGGACGGGTCACCTGAGGTCAGGAGTACGAGAACAGCCTGCCAGCATGGTGAAACCCTGTCTCTATTAAAAATACAAAAGAAAAAAAAATAGCCGGGCATGGTGATGCATGACTGTAATCCCAGCTACTCCGGAGGCTGAGGCTGAGAATCGCTTGAACCCAGGAGGCAGAGGTTGCAGTGAGCCGAGATCGCGCCACTGCACTCCATCTTGGACGAAAGAATGAGACTCTGTCTCACACACACACACACACACACACACACACACACACACACACACACGATGTGCTCATTGCCTTCTAGGTTTTTTGCAGAAAGATAGCACCATAGTCTTAAAACACTGAATATAGTGATCAAAACAGTGTGGTACAGGCATACAGACAGACATTTAGACCAGTGAAACAATAGGGTGCCAAGAAATAAAACTTTGAATATATGGTCAAATGATTTTTGACAAGGAAGCCAAGACTTAAATGTAAGACCTAGAACTATAAAACTGTTTAAAAGCACAGGGGAAAACTTCATGACATTGGATTCGTAATAGGCAGCAAAAGAAAAAATATACAAATTGGTCTTCAACAAAATTGAGAACTTTTGTGCATCGAAGGACACTATAATGTTTTTGTGGTCAAAGGTCATTTTTCACTTTGTTGAATGAAAAGTTAACCCACGGAATGGAAGGAATATTTGCAAATCATATATCTGATAAGGATTATTATTCAGAATTCATTAAAAACTCCTAGCTGGGTGCACTGGCTCACACCTGTAATCCCAACACTTTGGGAGGCCAAGGCGGGCGGATCACGAGGTCAGGAGATCGAGACCATCCTGGCCAATATGGTGAAACCCTGTCTCAACTAAAGATTCAAAAATTAGTCAGGCACGGTGGCGGGTGCCTGTAATCCCAGCTATGCAGGAGGCTGAGGCAGGAGAATCGCTTGAACCCAGGTGGCGGGGGTTGCAGTGAGCCGAGATCATGCCACTGCACTCCAGCCTGTCAACAGAGTGACACTCCGTCTCAAAACAAAAACAAACAAAAAAACCCTCTGCAACTCACAACATAAAAACAAATAATGCAGTTTAAAAATGAGTAAAGGACTTGACAGTTCTCCAAAGAGGATATACAAATATATTCTTTTATATGTATATGCCATATTTTGTTTATCCATTCATCCACTGATGAATGTATAGGTTGTTTCCACATTTTGTCTATTGTGAATAATGGTGCTATGAACATGGGTGTATGAATATCTCTTAGGGTCCCTGCTTTTTAAATAAATTTTGTGTATATATCTAGAAGTGGAGTTGCTGGATCATACAGTAATTCTGTCTGAATTATTTGACAAACTGCCATATGGTTTTCCATAAAGGCTGCGCCATTTTACATTCCCAACAGCAGTGCACAGGGTCTCAATTTCTCCATATCCTCACCAACGCTTGTTATATTCTGTTATTTTGAAAACAGTCATCCTAACGGACGTGAAGTGGTATCTGATTATGGTTTTCATTTGCATTTCCCCAATGATTAGTGGTATCGAGCTTCTTTTTTTTTTGGAGACAGAGTCTCTGTCACCCAGACTGGAGTGCAGTGGCACAATCTTGGCTCACTGCAGCCTCCGCCTCCTGGGTTCAAGAGATTCTCCTGCCTCAGCCACCTGAGTAGCTGGGATTACAGGCACGCACCACCACACCTGGCTAATTTTTGTATTTTTAGTAGAGATGGGGTTTCAGCATGTTGGCCAGGCTGCTCTTGAACCCCTGACCTCAAGTGATCTGCCTGCCTCAGCCTCCCACAGTGCTGGGATTACAGGCGTGAGCCACCATGTCCGGCCTAGAGCTTCTTTTTTATGTGCAGTCTAAACAAGGTAGACAAAACTTAAGCGGTTCTAGTATACCACTGTGGTGGTGATCTACTTAAAAGACCTTCCTCAATTTGATAATACGACAAGCTAGCCATGTGAAAATTGACCACTAAATGCAGAGGTCCAGGGAATACCTGTTTACGGACTTAGAACCCGAGGAAAAGACAGCTGGCTGTGCTTCCTGGGATGTTTTGTTTATTTCTGGCTGTGGAGGCAAAGAATGATCCAGGGGACAGTGGAGGGACGAGAGAGATACTGAAGCAGCAGTGAGCGGGTGGTGAAAGACAAGTTAACAAAGAGGCATCTGTGTTTGGGAGGAAAATGGAATTTTATCTTGGGACTTTTTCATCTTTACATCACCATATCCTAAGTCCAAACAATTTATTCCCCTGTAGGGCTATGAGAGTTTGAACATCTTATTTACCAAGTGCGAGTGGGCTGCATATTGTCCTTCTCCGGTGTTTATAGCTCAGTACTCTAGAGATTAGGTCATATATTATGTGCAGAAAAGCAGGCAAAGAATTAAAATCAAACATTGACTTCATTTATGCTTTGGTAACAGATTAAGAAGACAGAAATGCTCTCTAGTTGCTTCTAAATAACTATGTTTGCATATGTTTGCTTTAGTTTAATGAATTGTTAGTGTGGTACTAGGTATCAAGGAGGATAAAAATGAAAGAAGTTCCCTGCCCAGCCAGTATAGTGCTGAAGACAGACAAATGGCCATTTTTACTCAGTGTGGGAAATGCAAAATACAAATAGTAAGGGAAGGCCTTCATCCCACATTAGGATGGTGAGGGTAAACTTCTGGGGCAGAAGTTGGAGTTAGCCTAGTGAGCGGACAGACGACAGAGTGACCAAACATGAAAGGGTGAAATGTAAGTAACTGCCCATCCACGAGAAGAACTTCAAAGGTACAACTTTATCCAGAAGCATTAGCCATTTACGGCCTGGGTAATTTACTACGTGTGTGCTAGTTAATTTCTTGATTCTGAAGACACTAACCAATTAGCTTCTTGTTTGAAATAGTCGCACATGGTGACTGTGGAAATTTAGTAACGTTGAGTGACTGGTTTTATGCTTTAAATGAGTTGCTTAATGTTACTAAATTACTAAATGTTACCAAATTTCTAAATGTTACCAAATTTGTATACATAGATGTAATGTGTGAAATGTGATATGGATTCTTTGCCTTTGTAATTAGATTGCAAGTAAGACAATTGCAAATAGTTTTAATTAAAAATCTTAATATTTAAACTTCAAAATAGTAGGTAACACTTTGGTTTTATTTATAATTTTACTTAAAACAGTTCATATTCATTAGTTACAACTTGTATTGACATTTACATTTTAATAGAAAATGTTTAAATTTTAGAAGAAAAATATCTGGTTTAAAATCATATGCAACATAATTTTTGTATCTTAATGTTTACCTTATTTTTCTTTTCTAATGAAACATTTAAATGGTATACATTCTATTTTTTATTCCTTTATATTAAGTGTTGGCAAACTATAGCTCACAAGTTAAATGGTTTAAAAATCAATTATCTAAATTTATACTTTAAGTACCTAGAAGAAAGCAACTTAAACCCAAAGTGTGTAGACTAACAGTAACAATAAAGATAGGAGTAGACATTAATAAATTAGAAATGGCCAGGTAATATAGAAAATAAAATAATATAATATAAATGAAAGTTAAAGACAACAAAAACACCTAGACACGTTATAGTCAAACTGCTAAAAATCTCAGATAAAGAAGAAGCTTCACTTACAGAGGAACAAAAGTAAGAATTATAGCAGATATCACGTGAAAACCTACACAAGCCACAGCAATATCTTTAAAATACTAAAAGGAAAACAAAACAAAAACAAAAACACTGTCATTGCAGAATTCTATAACCAGAGAAGATACATGTTTTAAAAAGTAGGTGAAATAAATATTTTTTCAAACAAAAGCTGAGAGAATTCATTTCCAGCAGATGTGTACTATAAGAAATGTTAAAGCAAATTCTTTAGGCAGAAGGAATATGATACTAGCTGGAAATTTGGATGTACACACCAAAATAAAAGAATATGATACTAGACGTGGTAAAAATCATGGTAAATATACACTATTTTAAAAATGTTTAACATCATTAAAGCATCACTGGTTCAAGCAAAACATGTAATAAAGCATTGTCAGGTTTATAACATACGCAGAAATAAAACACAGAATAACACAGTGGAAGGAACATTTGTAAGTAGACTATTTTTTAATTTTATTTTACTTAAGTTCTGGGATACATGTGCTGAGCGTGCAGGTTTGTTACATAGGTATACATGTGCCATGGTGGTTTGCTGCACCTGTTAACCCATCATCTAGGTTTTAAGCCCCACATACATTAAGTATTTGTCCTAATGCTCTCCCTCTCCTTACCCTCCATCCCCCAACAGGTCCCGGTGTGTGATGTTCCCTTCCCTGTGTCCATGTGTTCTCGCTGTTCAACTCCCACTTATGAGTGAGAACATGCAGTGTTTGGTTTCTCCACATGCACACGTATGTTTATTGCAGCACTGTTTAAAAAGGCAAAGACTTGGAACCAACCCAAATGCCTATCAATGATAGACTGGATAATGAAAACGTGGCACATAAACACCATGGAATACTATACAGCCATAAAAAAGAATGAGTTCATGTCCTTTGCAGGGACATGGATGAAGCTGGAAACCATCATCCTTGGCAGTATATTATTTAAAGATTCTTATGCAATTGGAGAAGAAGTATATTGTTTGAATGTAGGCTGTAGTAAGTTAAAAATATATATGGTAAACCCTAAAGCCACCATGAAAAATGTTTAAATAAAGTGTAACTAATAACCCAGTCATGGAGATTTTTAAAAATAATTCTAAAACATACTCAGTACTACAAAGCAGTACAGGAAAACAGAGGAAAAAAAAGACCAAAGAACAGATGAGAATAAGGAAAACAAATATTATTATAATATTATATTTAAATCAAATTATATCAATAATTAGGTTACATGTAAATGTATTTAACAATCCCCTTAAAACTCATGCTGTCATATTAGATAATAAGGCTAATACAACTATATGCTGTCTACAAGAAACCCACTATAAACATAAAGATATATAGCATGGAAGTAAAAGGATAGAGAAGTATACCATGGAAGTAGTAATCAAAAGAAACCTGAAATGGCTTCATTAAAATCCGAGTAGACTTTAGAATAAGGAATATTGCCAGAAATAAAGACAGACACTACATAATCATTAAGGGGTCAATTCATGGCAAAGCTATAATAATCTTTATAACAGAGCTTCAAAATACATGAAGCAAAAATGAGAAAACTGAAAGGTAAAATACAAATCCAGAATTTCACTTGGTAAGGATATAGAAACATGAAAAACACTCTAAGCAATGTAATGTAATTTGCGTTTGTCTGACATTCCACCTTACAACCGTTTCAGCTAAAAACAGTTTTTGTAACAAGGGAGTATGAGCAACTAGGAATATCAGCTGCAGATAAGCTGACTACTTTGAATATGTAAATTCAAATGTGTTTCTTACTAAGTGGGTTTCATTAGTGTACATGCGTATGATACGAACACACACGTGGGTATGGGTGTGAGTATGTGTATCTTTCATAGGAAAAAATTAAGATCGCTTGACAAGAAAAGGCATGGGAGGTCAAAGGCAATGCCCATGAATGGAACATTCCTATGAAAAGATAGGTTGGATCCACATGACAGCAAAAGATATGAAAAGCTGTATATTCTTCATAATCAATGCCTACCCATCTTTTCACCTTCCTACTGTACTTTCAAGCTGTACTGAATTTCTTGCCTTCCGTCTCTGAATTTTCTTTTTGTCTAGAACATTTTTCCTTATCTTTAAAATTTCTCCCATAGTATTTTGCACTCGTATTCATCATACTTTATCTGTGTCTTCCCTGATCTACTGTGCTTTGTAATACAGGAACCACACCTTGTTCAATACTGTTGTCCCTATTGCCAGGGTCATAGCAGGCGTACACATATACACACAAGATGCCATAAATTAATAACATTTCTGCTATTCATAGCTGTTTGTGAGCTCGGCCCCACTTCTAGTAAGTATATTGCTGTAGTCATCACATTCCAGCACGCACACAAAAGAACTATGTAAATCTGTTTCTCCAACCGTCAACCCAGTCTTAACCTGAGTGGCAGGGTTCTTCGAGGTCTACCAGACAGACAACTGTGATGCATGGAAAAGGAGCCTGAGAGTTGGTGTTTAAAAGACGTGCGGTTAAGTCCCGCCTCTGTCACCTTTAGCTATTTAGGCTTGGTTAAGTCAGTCCTTGCTAGCTCTTCAAAGTCCACTCTTTCTTCCTAAGGCATACAATTGGACTGTGTTTCTCAGCCCGTCTTGCAGCTTTAGTCATGTGACAGAGTTCTAGCCAATAAAATATAAGTGGAAGAGATGTATACCACTTCCAAGTTTGGACAATACAAACTTGCATGCACCACCATCTACCATCACCTAAGGCACCAATGTCCTTTTTCCTCCTTGTAAGTAACCCCGGTGGGAGTAACATGGTGACGTGGGAGGTTGCATTGTGAAGATGGTAGCTAGTTACTCAAGCCTCGGTTCCTAAATGTCAGCATGATGCAGAGCTATTTCTAATGGGGAACTTCTACTCCAGTATACATTTCTTTCAAATCCATTGAATATTCAGACTGTATGTTATAGCAGTTTGACTTACCCTAATTAACATAGAGGAATAGTGATATCTACCTCACAGGCAAAGACAATGCATTTAAGTTCTTAATAGGAAGCCTGGCGCCTCATATGTAAACAAAAGTATCAGTTGTTATAACAAGGTTTAGATGAGAAATAAATCAGATAGATCATAAATGAATGTGCTTTATAAACTAAAAAGTGCTATATACTATTGAATATTCCAGAGTGCTCTCCTGGGTAGTTTTAGGAACTCATGGAATCTCATTTCTGTGAAGTCTTTTCTCTGGAAGTGAAATTAGGCTTTCTCTGAACACTTGTACATTTCAGTTTTAAACTTTTACTATCCATACAGATACATTCAATCCCATTATAATGGATTTGCTTGCATCTTTATATGCTTTTAAATAGCAGTCTGTAATTCAGGGCATAGGTTTACAAAAAGCAAACATGTAACTTCATGGAATGCATCATACCAAGTCAGGCCAGTGGCCAATACAGCTATATATCCTTATGAAAATGCTATTAATAGTGGTGGAAATTCAGGACTTTCAGTGAGGTGTAAAATGATTTACTGAGTAAAATGAGAAATCATACATGTGTATCTGTCCTAAAAAGCTCTTTCTTTAAGGTGTTAAATGTAGTCACAAATCTGCAAGCAGGAGAGGAAGAATAAAGCACTTGTAATCACTGTTTCTTCCACTTACAGAAAAAATAATCTTTTAAAACGTCTGGCTTCATTAGCCAGTGTCTCTTACCAGCCCCTGTTCCTATTTCAGAGCATTAGTAATTCCCAGAATATGTCTGTCCATTACAACAACTAATGAGCACAAGGAAGCTAACATACAGCTTGAATAAATTAGTCATCTGCATTTGAATGCGTCGATGGCACATCCATTATTGCTGGAGTCTCTTGCATCTGCTTAACTTTTAACATGAAAAGAATTAGGCTTTACTTACCAAATTTTTGCTTTCCTCTGTGGCTTTTAAATATTGCGCAAGTCAAAGAATCTTAAAAACAAGATCAACCGTGATTGAAGGCATCTATACATTTTCCAAGTCTTTTTATTCTGTTTATTCTGATTTTGCTCCCTTTTTCAGGAGTAACATTTTGTTACTCTGTGTTTGAAATCTTTTACAAGCCAGACAAGAGTCTGAATGGGTACATTGTATTGGATTAGTGTTCAATGCATGCTAATTAAACTAGTTTGAGTTATAAAGGAAGAAGTAGTATAATGTTCTCATGGGAGTCAGGCTTAGGTAAATGTTGTCATTGTACGTTAAAACTGGCAAAGTTGTATGCTGTGTTTTAAGACGCAAGAAGTCATTCAACATTCATGCATTCATTTAGACAACAAATGTTTTCACGTTCTAACTAAGTGGCAGACACCATGCTGGGTGGTGCTGGGGATACTAAGATGAAAAAGACGCCATCACTGCCCTCAAGGAACCCTATCTAGTGGTAGGGAGAAACATAAAAAAACAGGGAGTTCATATTATGAATTATATGAAATGAATATATTGTATTACATTTGAACATTTAATTCAAACTTTACTTGCCCTCTGGTTATAAGCGTTATTAAAATTATTTTCAAGGTTTTGATTTTTTTGCGGTCTCTTTAAACATCTGATGAAAGATGAAATTCTACTTCCCAAATGGTCCTAATTGAAAGCGAATGCACAAATAAGCATGCTATAAGAAACTGGACAGACATCATGAGAAAACACTCAGTTTCACCAAACCTGGTGTTTTTTTTTAAATAATGTTTCTTCTTTTGTTTTCTCCTTCCTTCCTTCCTTCCTTCCTTCCTTCCTTCCTTCCTTCCTTCCTCCCTCCCTCCCTCCCTTCTTTCCTTCATTTATTAATTGGCTTTTAAGTGCTAACTAGCAAGACTGTAAGCCCCATGGAGCTGGTAACCTGGTCTTTGTTGGCTGTGCTCATCAGGTGGCACAAAATAGAAGCTTGATTCATACTTTATTGGATGACTATTGAAAGAACTCAGAGGGCAACTTGCCAGATTCTGAATGTGTCCTAGAGAATAAGTGTGGTTCCTGTCCACACAGAGTTTACAGTCTGAAATGGATTTAATGTTTTCCCTAAGATTTAAACACATGCTCAAGAAAACTTCACAGTTTGATTAAATGAGTAGGCCTAAAACAGTGATATTATCAACAGAGCATGGGGCAAAAGTAGACTATAAGTCGAAAACTTTAAACACAATTTCTTTTCCATTTTCACACACACATACATACAGGCATACATATAAAAGCATGGCTGATTGTTGCTGTTCAAAATGTTCCCATTTTAGAAATTATTACAAACCAATATTTAAGTGCTGCTGTTTAACATTCAGCAAAATTTAAATAAAAGTGGCATTTTAATTTTTTTAATTTTATTTTTCCATAAGTTATTGGGGTACAGGTGGTATTCGGTTACATGAGTAAGTTCTTTAGTGGAGATTTGTGAGAACCTGGTACACCCATCAACCTAGCAGTATACCTTGCACCATATTTGTTGTCTTTTATCCCGTGCCCCCTCCCACACTTCCCCCCAAGTCACCAAAGTCCATTGTATCATTCTTATGCCTTTGCATCCTCATAGCTTAGCTCCCACATGTCAGTGAGAACATATGATGTTCGATTTTCCATTCCTGAGTTACTTCACTTAGAATAATAGTCTCTAATCTCATCCAGGTCATTGCAAATGCTGTTAATTTATTTCTTTTCATGGCTGAGTAGTATCCCATCATCATATATATCAGAGTTTCTTTATCACCTCGTTGATTGATGGGCATTTGGGTTGGTTCCACAATTTTGCTACTGTGAATTGTGCTGCTGTAAACATGCATGTGCAAGTATATTTTTTGAATCATGACTTCTTTTCCTCTGGGTAGATACCCAGTAGTGGCATTGCTACATCAAATGGTAGTTCTACTTTTAGTCCTTTAAGGAATCTCCACACTGTTTTCCATAGTGGCTGTACTAGTTTACATTCCCACCAGCAGTGCAGAAGTGTTCCCTGATCACTGCATCCATGCCAACATCTGTTTTTTGATTCTTTGATTATGGTCATTCTTACAGGGGTAAGGTGGTATCACTTTGTGGTTTTGAGTTGCATTTCCCTGATCATTATTGATGTTGAGCATTTTCTCATATGTTTGTTGGCCATTTGTATATCTTCTTTTGAGAATTTTCTATTTGTGTCCGTAGCCCATAAAAGTGGCATTTTTAATACCAAAGTTTAGGAAAATCAATGATGCTTTATGGCTAAATCTTTAACTGTATCAAGACCCATTCTTTAAGCCTGGCGCAAATCAGTGCTATGGTGGAGATGATAGGTTTAAAATGTCTATGCTTATCTTTGAGGAGAAAAGTACTGTATCTCATGTAATTTAATATATCATAGTAAACTATAGAAGGCAGTTGAAGCCTATTATAGTAAATTTTTGCATGTGTATTTCAATATACCAAACTTTCAGTTTGTTGTTACAAAATAACATATAAATAGGTTTCTGGAGCTGGATGGGCACGGTGGCTCACACCTGTAATCCCAGCACTTTGGGAGGCCAAGGTGGGCGGATCATGAGGTCAGGAGTTTGCGACCAGCCTGGCCAACATGGCGAAACCCTGTCTCTACTAAAAAATACAAAAATTAGGCTGGATGCAGTGGCTCAAATCTGTAATCCCAGCACTTTGGGAGGCAGAGGCGGGCAGATCACCTGAGGTCAGGAGTTCGAGACCAGCCTGGGCAACGTGGTGAAACCCCATCTCTACTAAAAATACAAAAAAATTAGCCGGCTGTGGTGGCGTGCACCTGTAATCCCAGCTACTCGGGAGGCTGAGGCAGGAGAATGGATTGAACCCAGGAGGCGAAGGTTGCAGTGAGCCAAGATCGTGCCACTGTATTCCTGCCTGGGTGACAAGAGTGAAATTCTGTCTCAAAAAAAAAAAAAAAAAAATGCCTGGAAAACTCATTACAGAAGTTTCCACTGTAGTAAAATTTGTTGAAATAAGTTGCACTCAATCATGTAAAAATGTGGCTCCTTGGGACTATCTGAACGGAATGTTGTAAGTGAAACACCCTCACCATAGTCACTATCCTGTTATCAAGAATTCTGGATCTTAAGGAAGTGCTTGTTTTGTCAAAAATGTGACACTAAGACTTTTCACCCCTATAGAAAAACCTCAACCCTGGCCTGGCGTGGTGTCCCACCCCTGTGATCCCAGCACTTTGGGAGGCCGAGGCCGGTGGATTACTTGAGGTCAGGAGTTCAAGACCAGCCCGGGCAACATGGTGAAACCCCGTCTGCACTAAAAACACAAAAATTATCTGGGCTTGGTGGCCTGTGGCTGTAATCCCAGCTATTCGTGAGGCTGAGGCTAGAGAATCGCTTGAACCCAGGAGGCGGAGGTTGCAGTGAGCTGAGATCGCGCCATTGCACTCCAGCCTGGGCGACAGAGTGAGACTCCGTCTAAAACAACAACAAGCAACAACAACAACAAACTTCAATTATGTTTGGAAAGAAGTGCTAATTTAATTTGGCAAAGATGAAGACAGCAGTCATAAAGCAAAACATTCGGTCTCAGGTTGGGTGGATTCCCACCTAGTTGACGAGGCCAGCTGCAGATTCAGGTGGGATCACCTGATGATCTTTATCAATGCCATTTCTTTCTCTGGATCCTTATTACTGACATTAGCAAGGGCTTTCAGCTGCCCAGAAGATGTTCTTTGCAGACATTTGCTCTCCCGGGCTGCCAGCAGGCTTTACAAATTTAAAACTTTCAGTGTAGGAACCCAGCCTCCGTCGTCCTTCCCCTCCAAAGTTAAGAGATCTGCTCTAAGGGTTCCTGAGGGGTGGTCTGGGGCCATGGGAACAGGATCAAGGCCCCCTGAGCGCCGGGCCTGGCTTCTGTGGCTTCGCAAACTTTTCAGCCTGTGTGCCACGGCGACGCGCAGCGGCTGAGTCGGAGCCCACGCGGCGCGCGCCTCCCGCGAGGAACTTTTCGGCTTGTAGGCTGCTTGTCACTCTCGCTTTCCGACGCGCCTCCCCCTGGCTCGCGCTCCCGGAGTTCCCTCCCCTCCTGGCGAGGACCTTTCCCGGCGCCCGCGGCTCCGATCCCCGCCGCGCTGCGCCCGCTCTCCCGGCCCCGGCTGCCCCGCTGAGGGCTCCCCTCTCCCAGGCACCGCAGCCGCGCCCCCGCGTCCCGCCTCCCGAGCGGCTCGCTTCGCCCGATGCCCCGGCCCCGTCCCGCGCACTGAGCGCCTGGCAGCAGGGCGCCGAGTCCCGGGGCGCTGCGGGGCGCTGCGCCGAGAACGGCCGGGCCTGAGCCCTGGGCGGCCCCCAGAGCCGATCAGAGCGCGGGGAGGCGGGGGCGAGGAGGAGGGGACCCGCCGCCGGGGGCTGGCTGCTTCGCTCCGAGCCGACTTTTCGCCAATGGTCCAAAGGGACATGTCCAAGTCGCCTCCCACAGCGGCGGCGGCGGTGGCGCAGGAGATCCAGATGGAACTGCTAGAGAACGTGGCTCCCGCGGGGGCGCTCGGAGCCGCCGCACAGGTAGCGAGAGCGCGGCGCCTTCTCCTTCCTTTGTGAGCCGCCGGGCAGGGCACCGACCTCGGGTTCTCCCGGCGCCTCCACTGCAGGGATCTCTAGCCTCGCACCTCCTCCCCTCGTCGCCTGCCCACCCTCTGCTCCTCTCCTGGCGCCGGGGACCCTGCCCCTTTGCGCCTTTTCCTGGCTCTGCCTCGGCTTCCATTTTTCTCTGCTTCCGAAAAGCCAGTGGGGAAGGGCGGGGGAGACCTGCCAGTCCTCCCAGACTTCTCCCGGGTTGCTCCAGCTGGCCCTCCTCGCCCCTTCCCGGGAGAGGCACATGGAGAGACATGAATCAGGGGAGTGGACTGGACCTGCTGAAGATCGTGAGTCCGGGTGGGCGGGAGGGGGCCCGCTTCCCGCAGCGCTTTCTACGATGCCGACTCTCCTGGCCACGCTCCGAGCCGGGGTGGGCGTGGGTGTGAGGATGATGGGGTGCAGGTGGGCAGGAGGGGAGCGAATATGGGGGTGCCCTGCCGGATCCCCCCAGAGCTGCCCGGACCACGCTGCGCACCTGGGGCTGACAGCTCTCCAGTCCCCTCGGGCACTTGCCAAGGTTTGCCTGTCCCACCTCATGCCTTTCCCTTAAGAAGCGAGTGAGCTGGGGACAAGAAAGTTTTTATTTTTCCGTCTCCCCTGAAATGTTAGCCATTTCAGGGATCTCCAGGATCCCCTTTCTCTCCGTTGAGTGTTTGCGGTTTCTGGAAAAAGTCAGCTTCGCTGCAGGTTGTTGTGAAATTGGAGATGTCAGTTGTAGGCGCTGGGCAATGACAAGGTGGTTTTTACGTTTTTACGTAAGGCTTCAGCAGGTACAGTTTGGGTTACAGACACCTCCAGGTCTCAGCGATGAGGAGTCGCTCAACTTTTCTCCCGGCAGGGAAATGACTTCAGACTCCTAGCTGCGGGCTGGCTGTTGGCTGGCCAGTGATGTGAAGAGGTCTTGGTTACATTTCAGGCAGCATTCTGGAGAAATGTCTGTTTGCTTAACTGTGTTGGCTTGTTGATTTCAAGCCTACATTTGCCAGATTTTAATTTGCGGTAAGATATATATGTGTGTGTATATATACTTATATATTAATACGTAGACACACATACACACACTAGAGAGCATGTTAGAGTATCATTTGCTGTAGTAGTGGGGGCAGGAGTGTGACAAGCTAATAAAGGTGGCAAATGTTTTCTTGCTGTTGTTTTGATAGGTGGAACATGAGTGCTCTAGATATTTTGATATTGTAATCATGGCAGTTCCAAGTGGCATAGTAGTCTAGCTTTATTGAACTTTCTTTTACCATTGGGAAATTAATGTGCTAACTTAAAACACATAATTCACTTTGACTTGAGAAGGGGAAGAATGTGGACACCAAGGACTTGTGTAATCAGAAATCTATTTCTTTTGTAGTGGTAAAACAGCTAGATTTTGGTCCACCCTGGGCTGTTTGCTTCACAAGCCGAGTAGGGACATGTAATGAACCAGCTACATTCCCATCTGGCCTCTGCCAGAGGATCTGAATTTTAACCAATAGAGTTTGCATTTGTTCTAGACTCCTGATTTTTATCTAGATGCTTGCCAGGTTAGACAGAATGAAAAATGTACCCGGAGACCTCGGTTATTCTAGGATGAAGGTCTTGAATACTATCAGTATTCGAGTCCTCCATCAAAGGAAAGGACATTTAGACCCTCATTTGCCTTTGATCTTCCTTGAGGGATATTTTAGAAAAGTTTTTATTCTTATGATAAAAATAGAGTTCCTAAATTCCTGGACATCAAAGTCAGGGCTCACATAACTGCATTCAGATAAGAGATACTAATTTACTTTGTGATTTATGTACAATGATTAAATGTAAGTCAAGTTATTGTACAGCAGCAATGTGGAAATGATTCTGATGTGAAAAGACACAATTTCTGCCTTCAAAGAATTTATATTCCAGTAGCAGCAATTAGGATATATGTATAGGGGCTGGAAGAGAAGTTCTGACTAGTAAATGGCTTCAAAGGAATAAGGATAATAAACACGCTATTTGGAGGAATCTGTAAGGACTTCATTGATGAGGTGGCATTTGCAAAGAGAATTGAAGGATGGGTCAGATTACACCAGATATTTTTGAGAGAGTTGGTAAGCAGTCGTACATGAAACAGAGTCCCAGAAGTAAGAAGTCTTACAGGATAATTTATCGTTTCTAGTTCAAAAAGAGCATGGTAAGGTCAAGATTGGACACAGGCGTAAAACTGACAAAGCAATTTGAGACTACATCTTGGGGACTTGGAATCTTTAGTGTATTGAGCGACAGGGAACTGTGGAAGGAGTTCAAAAGAGGACCCACATAGCAGCTCATTTGGGAATATTCACTTGGAAATGTTCTGTAAGATAGTTTCAAGTCTTAGGAGTCCAGAGGTGAAGCTGCCAGGCAGCAGACAGATGTAACAGTTTGGGCCGAGGTAATAAGGCCTAAGCGAAAAAGAGATGAAAAGATAATGGATATGACAGTTCTATGTATCAAACATTTCAAAGTTCAATTCACAGGAATTAGCAAGTGATTGCATAGATAAAGGAGAGAGAAGAGAAAGGGCAGAATGGATTTTAAAAGCAAGTTTAAGAGATATAAATATTCAACTGCATCAACATTCATCTCCTTGCTTTCTCTGCCTTCCAAAAATGAAAGCAATTTGACTTGAATTGCGTTCATCTCACACCCATTATTTGAGGGAAACATTACCTTGTTTATTTTATATCTGATAAATCATGGCATCATAGGATTGTGTGAGGCTTGGGAAAGCCATCTCTTCCATCTCTCTGTTTGGGCAGAACAGACCAGCAGTAAAAACTGCCTGAGAAAGGAGGCTGGCTCTAGAGCATCCTCCTTGTATGTGGCACCGAGTAATTCTACTCAGAATTATTGGGCAGTTCTACCTAGAAATGGAGTTTCTATTTACAAATGGAACCTCTAAAGCAATGATTGGTTTTAGGAATCATTCTACCTCACCTCTGGATTATAGTATTATATTTGTATGAAGAAAGCAGAAGATGTAGATTTGCAAACTCTGCCATTTTCCTTTTCTGTATCAATCATTCTGTCTAGAGAGAGGGAGCATCCTGATACATTCCGGTCCCTTTGCCCCAGTACATTGCCATAAACAAAATGATACATTTCTCAAAGCCCTGGTTTTTGTTTTGTTTTGTTTTTGTTTTTGTTCTGTTTTGTGTTTTGAAACGGAGTCTCACCCTGTCACCCAGGCTGGAGTGCAGTGGCATTATCTCAGCTCACTGCAACCTCCACCTCCTGGTTTCAAGCAATTTTCCTGCCTCAGCCTCCTCAGTAGCTAGGACTACAGGCGCCCGCCACCATGCTCAGCTAATTTTTTTGTATTTTTAGTAGAGACGAGGTTTCACCATGTTGGCTAGGCTTGTATCAAACTCCTGACCTCAGGTGATCTGCCCGCCTTGGCCTCCCAAAGTGCTGGGATTACAGGCGTGCGCCACCATGCCCAGCCCAAAATGGATACGTTTCTTACATGGGAAATGAATGGCAATCTAACTGCAAATTCTTGAAAGTCCCCATTTAAGAAAATTGCATTGCTTTTTAGGTAACCTGTTGAACAGTTTCAGCGTGAACCTGGACACAGTCTACTTCCAAAGTCCAGGTGCTCATGGAGGACCCTTTCTCCAAGCTCCAGATCTGTCTGTTCATTGTGGTAGCTGCTAGCCACCTGTGGCTTTTGAGCCCTTGAAATGTGGCTGGTCTGAACTGATATGTGCTGTAAATGTGAAATACACACCAGATATCAAAGGCTTAAGATGAAATAAAGAATATAACACATCTTCATTAGTAAATTTTAAATTGATGACATGTTGCAATGACCATGTTTTGGATATGCTGGGTTAAACAAATGCATTGTTACAATTAATTTCACCTGTTGCTGTTTACCTTTTTAATGTGGCTGCTGGAAAATTTCAGTGATATATTTGGCCATATGACATTTCTATTGGGCAACATTAAAGTATGAAACTGGTAATTCTCCAGGGAATTGAATAGCTCCTGCGTGAAGGTTGGGTGAACGGGAAGCAGGTGACAGGGATTGATAGGTAACAGAAGAGGAAACGGAGGAGTAACAAGAACAGTATCTCAGCACTCTAGGCCTCAGAGAGATTGTCAGTGGCACCTCCAGTCGCACCTGAAACTGAACAGACAGTAACCAGTGGGCCTGTTTGTTTTGCTCCTAGCAACAGGTCCCAGCTGGTCCCAGCCCAGCCGAGTCTGCCAGATGCTTTTCAAGCATGTTGTGGTAATACAGCCTGGTGATGGCAACATCCTGAATGGCTGTAGCAAGGAGCTTTATCCAAAAAGAGTAGCAGCTGTTTTCTAGTGGCTCTTCAACTACATCAACACTGTTTTCCTGAAATATTCTTAGGTCCCGTGTGCAAATGAGTTTTCTGCAGTCTCCAAAGTTGGTGGTTACAGGTCCTGTGCTTTATGTTTTGCTGAAATCTTCACTCTTAACCACCATCACTTTCCTCTTGAATGGTATTTTTTTTTTTCTAATGTGACATGGGAGAAATTTACAGACATGCCAATCAGAATTTCTGAGTATGTTTTAGAATTTGAAATATATCTGAGTGATTTGAGGTTTTGTTGTTCTTACAATATCATGCTCATTTTATTTTTCTCTCTCTTTTTATGTGAAGACTCAATTTACCTGTTGCTGTATTTAATTCCTTTGAATTATATAGCCTTGGCCCTTTCAAGAGAAGCTAAGCAAAATATGTTAACCTCATAGGGGATGGTGATACTCTACAATTTTGTGGCATGTCTCTATCCTACACGTAGTCTAGGTCAAACATAACATAACATGGTTATGTTACAAACTAATTGTAACAATGCATTATTTCACAACTGCAGACAGAGAAAACTACTTATGACATCACTTAAAGGAACCGGGCCTGTCTTACTGATCTTTCCAAGCCTGGCAGGAGGTAGACTGTGAAGAAGGCATGTGTTGTTCCTGGCTTTCTGCTCTCCCTGCCTGTGCTCCTCCTTACTGGGCAGATAGATCTCTGCTTCCTGGCCTCCTCCTTCCTCCCTCCTCCCTCCTGTACCTGCTAGACACCCACCCCCATCCCCAAGAACTCTATTTATGCAGGCTCCTTGTTCCTTTCTGCTTTTGTGTGAACTGAGCCATATTATAAAAGGCAACTTACTTCTCTCTTTTTTCTAGGAATGTCATTTAGCTACTTCTTGCCTAGTAAAGGATCTTACCCTTAGCTTATTCACACTAAGCTATTGGTAAATGAGGAGATTTGATACATGATTTCTCTCTGGATAGTTTTGGCTTTGTTTGTTTTAGGTCATAAGATGAGGAAAGTCTGGAAATTCAAAGGGATAAACATCAATGAATACGAACTGAGAGAGATGGAGACTAATTTTTTTTTTTTTTTTTTTTTGAGATGGTGTCTCACTCGGTAGCCCAGGTTGGAGTGCAGTGGTGCAATCTTGGCTCACTGTAACCTCCACCTTCCATGTTGAAGCAATTGTCCTGCCTCAGCCTCCTGAGTAGCTGGGACTACAGGCACATGCCACCACGGCCAGCTAATTTTTTTTTTTTGTTTTTCGAGACAGAATCTCGCTCTGTCACTCAGGCTGGAGTGCAGTGGCGTGATCTCGGCTCACTGCAACCTCCACCTCCTGGGTTCAGGCGATTCTCCTGCCTCATCCTCCTGAGTAGCTGGTATCACAGGTGTCCGCCACCACGCCTGGCGAATTTTTTTGTATTTTTAGTAGAGATGGGGTTTCACCATGTTGGTCACATTAGTCTTGAACTCCTGACCTCAAATGATCTGTTTCCCTCTGCCTCTACCTCCCAAAGTGCTGGGATGACAGGTGTGAGCCACTGTGCCCAGCCTAACTTTTGTATTTTTTAGTAGAAACAGGGTTTCGCCATGTTGGCCAGGCTAGTGTCAAACTCCTGACCTCAGGTGGTCCACCCACATTGCTTTCTCAAAGTGCTGGGATTACAAGCATGAGCCACCGTGCCCGGCCTAATTTTAAGTGTCAGTATTTTGCTCATGGGAAGTAATCTGTAGGTAGGAGAAGTGTCACAATAACCATAAAAGCACAGAAGCCACATCATTCTTCAGGTTGTCCCCAGGGGCTGCCAAGACAACTTTGAGTGCACGGCTAAAATCTCCAGTTAACTGACAACTTCTGTAATTAATTATTCCTGTCTCCTTCAATCATGCAGCAATTAGATTTTCATTACCTGTGAAAAGGTCAACATTTATTTGCTGATTTTTAAGACTGGAGTCCATTCTTAAGTTACTTCGTGTCAAGGAAGATGGATATTCATTCACACTAAGCTGATATTAACATCATGATGGATTTTGAATGTCTTTTTAATAAGTCATTAATATATTTTTGGAAATTTCTTAAGAATTTTTTTCCCTAGTTTCTGAAATCTTAGCTTGATGTTTTGGAACAACTAAAGGAATATAAATATAAGAGTTTTTTTTTTCTTTTTACTGTGGTGACATAATTTGTTTTAAGCTTCATATAGCTAATAGCAATTAGTGGAAATTAGTGACTTTTGGGACTCTTTCAAGAAGGACACAGAGACCTGCATGTGTCAGGGAGAATCTATAGGTAACACCTTGTACTACAGCCAAATCCCCTTTCCTGTCTCCCCTTTTCCTTATACAACCTGGGCTGCACTAATGATTAACTGTTTCAGATATTGGGCGTTCATATATTTTAATGCTGGTAAAAAATATTTAGAAAAACTGTTCACAAAAGTAGCTGCACTTGAAGTAGCAAATTAACTAAAACAATTACATATATTTTTTTTTTCAAATTTAGTCAGCTAAATATTTGAACACTTAATCTTCCCTGTCTTTTCCGTTTGGGAGAGGTTTGGCCTTCACTTTTTTCCCCCCTTAATTCCTTCAGAAGAAGTAGTCTAGTCCTTATTTTCAAGGATTTCAAGTAACTGAAAACCAAATCTTTCGAGCAAGATGGACTTAATTTTAAATACACATTAGATTAAAATAAATTTAATTTTGTAATAGCAGGATGAATTTTCACTAACATTTTTAAAGGTATATGAAAATGGACTATTAGCTTTCCAAAGATGCTTTAAATGTTTTTTTGTTTTCTGATCCTGACTGTTATTATAATAACAAAATAACTGGTCAGTAAGTAATCACTCTACAGTTTTTTAAAAAAAAAGAAACTTTAGAAGAGAAATTCCTGTGGAAATTAGTAAAATAACAGAATAGAGATATAATGAAGCATATATATTTATTTTGTCTTTTAATATGATATATGATAGGGATTTGCTCTAACACTCTTAAGGCATGAGCAAATGAATACTTTAAATAAATCATCCCTTATACACTTAAGTAATTGAAGAACAATTTTTTTTCTCAAAACTATCACCAGCATGCATGCAGTTCAGTGTGCTATAGTTGTTTGGTGTATAAACTATCTTAGTACAGTTGAAAACTGTAATAATTTCATTACATATACTTTGCATAGGTAGCTAAGTACGCCTGAAATAACATTTATGAACAGGATTCCCAGGGGTCTGGAAAAATTAATGTGAGTTTTTAAATGTGTTCAACTTCTTGCAGAGAACAGCCACCTCCTCTGTGACTGAATGTCTTCAACATTGTGTGGCTCTCACAGTGCCTGTTGTACAATTGTAAGCAACCACAAAAAAGCTTACACATTCAAGAAGTTGGATAATGAGACATATTTATCACTAAAATGCTAAAATTAAAGGACAATAGAATTGCGAAGATACTCTTTTCTGTTCATTTAAAAACGGTACTGGAGGCTGGACATGGTAGCTCACTCCTGTAGTCCCACCACTTTGGGAGGCTGGGGCGGGAGAATTGCTTAAAGTCATGAGTTCAAGACCAGCCTAGGCAACATAGTGAGACCCTGTCTCTACAAAAAACAAAAATTAGCCAAGCACGGCAATGTGTGCCTGTAGTTCCAGTTACTTGGGAGGCTGAGGTGGGAGGATTGCTTGAGCCCAGAGGGTGTGGGGTGTAGTCAAGGCTGCAGTGAGCCATGATCATATCACTGCACTCCAGCCTGGGTGACAGCACAAGACACTGTCTCAAAAAAAAAAAAAAAAATGGGATGAGATTATATTTTGTCTTTGTTCTCAAAGATAATTCATGTTCCTCATGAGGATAAACGGTGAATTTAACAAAGATTGTCGCTACACCCCCAAAGAAACAGGCCTTAAAAATACTTTCTAGGTAATAAGTATTTTTGCACATAGGTTAATATAAATTTAAAAGAAAATTTTAAAGAGATTTTCATACTTTATTTTAGCCTTCTTAGGCCTTAGAAAATGCATCTGTCCAAACCTTTACATAATAATTGGAAAAGAAAAAAAGTGGTTAAAAGAATGTTATTTTTCAACAGTTTACTGAATAATGTTTACACAAGTAAAAAGAATGAGCTGTTAACCGAGGACAACCTTGTATATTACATTATGAAAGACCAGCGTAGCTTTCTTGCCGTTTATGAAGTTGAGAGTTAATTAAATGTCATGGAAACACATTTGTATTATATAAATCCCTTAGATACTCTGAATAGAACAAACATATATAAGAAAATTTTTTGCTTTAAGATGATACCACCCTCTCACTGATAGCAAATTCGTCTAAATTACTCATAACGCAAATGTTTGTAATAGATTTCAGCTTGCCTAAGTGCTACATATATTATGGCAGATATTTTAATGAAAAGCATATGAATAGAGAAAGCATAACCAAATAGCATTTTGAGAACCTGAATGTGATGATTTTAAAAATAAATGTTGTAAATTTTGATAATCTAAGGAAGTCTCTATGAGCCTAATAATTGTCAACATGTTATACGCTTTAGTCCAGTTTGTTTCCACATCTTCCAACCCCTGTATAGGTATCACTTTTTATGTATTACTTTGAGTCCTTACCATGTGTTAGATCTTATGCTAAATGCTATAAATACATTATTTCGTTTCATACTTAATCCTATGAGGTATTATTTCATCTAATACTTAACCCCATTTTAAAGATGAAAAGATTGATGCTTGAAAAAGTTAAGAAATTTGGTGAAGATTTGCTATGTCCAGGATTCTAACCTGTGTGCTACATTTAACTCTAAACTCAACTGTTAAGCTATTGTTCATTTATATTTTAATGTTTAATATTTGCCCTTACTGCATCTATGCTTAGAATTAAACATAGATTGATGTGTAGTTTATTCTTAGGGTTCTGAATGTAAACATAATAGGAAAAGCAAGTTCATTTTTAGATGTTTCTGCTTGGCCCAATCCTATTATCGAAACAAATCATCTTACCTTTAACTTCCTGTTTTAAATGCTTATTTTTAAATGCTTTATCATTACAGGCTTTTGCCTCTTGCCTGCTAACACATTTATAAGACGACATCCATTGTTTTAATTCACTAGTTATTAAATGCTTTGCCAAGAAAACCCTCCTCAGCCGGGTGCAACGGCTCATGCCTGTAATCCTAACACTTTGGGAGGCCAAGGCGGGCGGATCACCTGAGGTTGGGAGTTCGAGACCACCCTGACCAACATGGAGAAACCCTGTCTCTACTGAAAATACAAAATTAGCCAGACGTGGTGGCACATGCTTGTAATCCCAGCTATGCGGGAGGCTGAGGCAGGAGAATCACTTGAACCTGGGAGGCGGAGGTTGCGGTGAGCCAAGATGGTGCCATTGCACTCCAGCCTGGCCAGCAAGAGCGAAACTCTGTCTCAAAAAAGAAAAGAAAAGAAAACTCTCCTCCCCACATCATCACTGATTGGAAATGGATTTGTAGAGTCCCACCAGTATTAACTTTCTAATGATGCTTACATGATGGCAATGTATTACTTGTTTTTGGTCTTTGACATTTTCTGCAACTAGGCCTACATTCCTGTTAAAGGGTCTCATAATAATCTTATTTGTCTTTTTTTTTTTTTTTTTTTTTTTTTAGTCATATGGAAAAGGAGCCAGAAGGAAAAACAGATTTAAAGGATCTGATGGAAGCACGTCATCTGATACTACCTCAAATAGTTTTGTTCGCCAGGTAAGAGTTTTAAGTTCATGGTTTTGATAAGTACCTTAAAATGACTTTAGATTTTTAAAGGTGGGTTTCACTCTTTTCCTTAAGATTTATGTAGTATGATTGTACTTACTTTTAATTGAAGTGAAGACGGTGCTGTTTAATGTCATAATTAAAATATTTTAATCTTAAGTGAGACTAAGTAATAATTACACTCTTTCCTGGCAAGTTGAGGAAAGAGAAGTGTGGCATTCATTACAGAGGATTTCTTTGAAACAGTGAGAGAACTCCAGCAGAAATGATTATGGATTTGGGGGGATTGTTTTTTTTTTTTTTCAGTGGGACAGAGAGCTGATGTGCATCTGTATCCCTACCTGTGAGATACTGGGGTTCTTCTAGTTGAGCTTTCTTCTTCTCACTTGGGCTTGCATTGAAAACTAGAAAATCATTCTTGGTCTTGAAATGGTTGAGGCTATCGAGGTTAAACAGAACATGCAGTATCACTGAGACATAATTTAAACCATTTCTGCCTTTGGAGACATAGCCTTCGTCTCATTTAATGTGTAGTATCTTCCTGCCAAGCAGCCTGGAACAGTCCCCTAAACAGACAGTGCCAGGCTCCCTAACATATAAACACGCTTATATATGGTAACAGAAAGGAATTCCATTACCAGAGGAAGAGCATAGAGGCAGCTGGACCTCTGAGGGTTGTGGTTATGTGTTGAGAATGAAGTCTCATCAGGAATGAGTGAGCTTGTTTCTTCCTCTAACCCCTCTCCATGGGGTGGAAAGTAGGGGCAGAGCATGCAGCAGAGAATCTGTTCTTGTGGCCCAGGGATGTCCAGTGTCTGATCAGTACTCTCATCATCTCTTGTCAATGACAGCTCACTCTACGGAACAGTGGTAGTCAACTGGAAAAGCTGCCTCGTGTCATTTGGATGCCACTTTCCCCAGTGCCGCTTGAGTCCATCATCATGGCCATAGATTCCACCCCTGCCCCCTGTTTGTGTGGCAGGACTGTTTCCTATAAATCCTATATGACCTTTTGGGTTTTATTTTTATTGGGGACAGTTACATTTCCCTAGCTGTCTACCCTTATTGGCTCCTTGTGGCACTCCCCAAGTGCCTCCCTCATGTTTCCTTCCCACAGTTAGCTGCAGTTGAACTTGAACTTGTCCACCTGCAGCATCGGTGGGGATTTTGATCTTGGCTGGTTGCTGCTTCTTTGCACTGTCCTTAGACGAAGGATGATCTGTCCCCAGCCATCAGTCCCCGCTTGCAACATTTGAGTATGCCAGTGGTACTTCCAAGTAACTTGGCAACTGGAAAAAAACTGGTCCTGGTCCGTGCCAATTGGGAATTGTTGTGGTTGCAGGAAGTGAGAAAAAGAGTTACTTAAGAAGGGGCAAAGCTTTTTTGGTTAGAAACATTTAGAAAGAAAAAAGATGAAGCCACGTGAGGCTCAACCCTAGAGCTATGTTCTAATGGTGTCAGCAGGAGCTAGGAAGGCTGTCAGAGGAGTGGAAGGTGTATGCGTTGGCCTCATGTTTTCGTGGGCAGAATCCAGGCATCATGGTCCTGCTGATGAAGGGAGGGCCTTGGGACATAGTGACTTGGGAGAGTCAGTTAAAGGAAAGTTACCCATCGCCTTTTCCATTTCAAGCTATTTATTCTGCCTCTGAGACAAAGAGATTGAACCTGGAGAGCTAGAGTTAGAATCTACAACTCTGAGTCATCATGCAGGACCTGAAACAGACCAAAAAAAAAAAAAAAAAAAAAAACAAAAAACAAAACACTAGCTCCTTAGTGTGCATAGTAGCTGCAGTAAAGCAACAAATAATGCCAAGCCGCTTGTTGAAATTGCACGGAAAGAAAAACTGATATGTTTCAAATAAGCAAGACATAATGAATAGAAACGAACAGTGTAGAACCCGTTATTAGTCATTTAATCCCTGTAGAAACGCCACGTGAAGGCAGTCACTGGACTCCATTTTCAAATGGTATTTTTGGCTGTGAATTCCTTTTTCATAGAGTTTTAATAACCCAATTCACATGGCAAGGAGGGATTACCATAGTGTGTATAAGTAAACTGGAATTTGTTTTTCTTCACGGTAATTTTCTTTTGTGTTCTTAGTAATGTATGTAGCTTTAAACACCATTATAAGTGATAACAAGAGTTGTTAAATGATTTAATGTAAATTTTAGTATATATTGCCAAAACATACATAAGCGTGTAAGAAGGCAAAACCAAATTTATCCCAAAGGGTAAATATACAGGTCTGTTTCCTAGAATATCAATAGGACGAGGTGTTTGCTATGGCATGGCTTTTGGGGTAATGATTACACAGGCGTATCATTGAAAACCCTCAAATGCTGGCTTGCATCTGTCACAAAAGGAAAACTAGCGTCTTTGGCAAGAATTCTGAGTTAAAAGTTGTATTTCTCCTTTGGTAATTTAATCTCTATTCTGTTAAAACAGCATTCCCATTTTGCTGCCATTTGAAAATAAGTAAAAGCTGCCATAAGATAGCCAGATATTTAATAGAAATGGTTTCCTGGAGTGTTTGCAGGAATGCATGGCAGATAGTGACAATGGGCACACTAGATTTTACTTATTTATTTATTTATTTATTTATTTATTTATTTTTGAGACAGGGTCTCACTCTGTTACCCAGGCTGGGGTGCAGTGGCGCGATCTCGGCTCACTACAACCTCTGCCTCCTGGGTTCAAGTGAGTCTCCTGCCTCAGCCTTGCGAGTAGCTGGGATTACAGGCACAAGCTACTATGCCCAGCTGATTTTTGTATTTTTAGTAAAGATGGAGTTTCACCATGTTGGCGAGGCTGGTCTCGAACTCCTGACCTCAGGTGATCCGCCCACCTTGGTGTGCCAAAGTGCTGGGATTACAGGCATGAGCAACCATGCCCGGCAGCATACTAGATTATTAAGTAATTAGAAAAAATACCTTTACATGTTGTTTTTTAAAGTAAGTGTATGTTTTTTAAACAAGTGACTTGCATCGACACATATTGCGTACTTGTCTGTAGCTAGGGAACATATATAATTGGTATTACAAAGATATTTGCCCAATAGAATTTTGTTTTAAAATATCTTGCAGTTAGAGTCTACTATAGCCCTTTGATTAAAAATAGTTCCTATATAATTTTAAAAACCTTAGAATTTTATTGTTATAAACAGTATATGATTTGAAAGAAATTTAAAAAGTAAAATATTCAGAAACACTAGGTATACTTTTAGGTAGTCTTTATAATACCAAGATTTAAAAGTTTTAGAGGTTGATAATGTGAAAATTTGACATAAAGGAAAGGAATTAAGAACTTTAAAAAAAAAAAAAACAACTTGGAGAATATCAGAGAGTTTGTTAAGGAATAAATTGTCCTCCTATCCAACCCTCAAATTCATCTTTAGAAGCGCAGACACCCAGTGTGACTATATTTGGAGATGAGGCCTCTGGGAGTGGGGCTCTAATTCATTAGGACTGTTATCTTTTTTTTTTGTTTTTGTTTTTTGTTTTGAGGTGGAGTCTCACTCTGTCGCCCAGGCTGGAGTGCGGTGGCCTGATCTTGGCTCACTGCAACCTCCATCTCCTGGGTTTAAGTAGTTCTCTTGCCTCAGCCTCCCCAGTAGCTGGGATTACAGGTGTGCACCACCATGTCTGGCTAATATTCGTATTTTTAGTAGAGACAGGGTTTCGCCATGTTGGCCAGGCTGGTCTCAAACTCCTGACCTCAAGTGATCCACCCGCCTCGGCCTCCCAAAGTGCTGGGATTACAGACATGAGCCACCGCACTGGGCTGTTATCCTTTTAAGAAGACAAAAAGAGAATGAGGTTGCATGCACACAGAGAAAAGGTCATGTGAGGACACAGTGAGGAGGCAGCAGTCCGCAAGCTAAGGCGAGAGAGGCCTCACCAAAAAGCAACCCTGCTGACACCTTGACCTTGGGCTTTTAGTTTCCAAAACTGCGAGAAAATTAATTATTGTTGAAACCACCCTGTAGTAATCTGTTATGGCAGCTCAAGCAGACCAATAGAGATTAATATATAATTAGGCTTGAAAATGGGCCTTTTAAAATCAACCTTCTTATTGATCATGTAACATATATGCCAAAAAGTGCACAAATCATGTGTTCAGCCTGGTGAGTTGTCATAAGGTCAACCCCTGTGGAGCCACCACCCAGGTAAAGAAATAAGCATTCAGCCTCACCTGTCCCCTTTTGGACCTTTCTCAATCATATTCCCTCTTTCCTCACTAAAGATAATCACCATCCTTACTTCCAATACCATACATTTGTTTTACCTGTTTTTGCAGTTTTATGTAAATGGAATCATTTTGTATCTGAATTCTTTCACTGAACATTATGGCTGTTATATTTATCTATGTTGGACATTTTAGTAATTTGTGGATTGTCTTTGGTTGATTTTGGTTTGTTGGTGTGATTTTACAGCATTCCACTGTGTGGAAAGACCACATTTGATTTATGTGCTCTACTGTTGGTAGACATTGGGCCATTTCCAGTTGAGGGAACTGAGATTGATGTTCCTATGCACATTCTTATGTGCTCCTTTCATACACATATGTATGCATTTTTGTTCAGTGAATAGAGTGGAATGCTAGGTAATATGGCATGCCTGTGTTCAGCTAAAGTAAACATCATGAAACAGTTTTCCAAGATGGTTGTACCAGTTTGCACTCCCACAAGCAGTGGGTGATGGTTTCAGTTGTCTTACATCTTTGCTAACACTTAGTAGTGTCAATCTTTTTCATTACAGTCAGTTTTATGACAGTGCAGTGGTAGCTCAATGTGGTATTAATACCCATTTTTCTGATATCTAACCCACAATTTAACTGTGGCTAGGCCTAGGGAACATCTAGAGAACAGAGAGAGAGAATGAGAGAGAGAGGGAGAGAGAGAGAGAGAACATATTATATATATATATATATATATATGTCAATATGCCATATACATACCATATATATCACATTATATACATGAAAGGTTTTATCAGAGCATTTTATTACTCTTTGTAGTCAATTTCTCATTAGTCATAATTAATTCTGTAGCAATTTAATTAAAATTATAAATATTAGAATATGGTGAAACATATTTGAATATATTGTAACATCAGCAGAAAAAGGCTACAAAGTAAAAGGGTAAAAAGCATTTACCAGTGGTTTTATCTTTCCAGACTTTTAGTTGTATAGTTTAGTTAGGTAACGAACCTTATCTTTAAGAAGAATCACTGGTCTTAAGGAAAGTTTTCTTCTTGATATGTTTCTGTGTTAGGCTCTAAAGCAGAACAGCAGCTACCTTGAAAGAATTTTTGCAGTTATATATAGATGAAGGTTCCATTTTGTTAATAAACCAGTTCACCATTAGTTAGTCAATTAACTAGTCTTCTGGCCCTTGACATTATCAACTTATTTGAAGTCAGTGATATGTTACAAGAGGATTGGGGAAATGACATGCCCCATGAAGTTAGTTAATTTTCCCCCGGAAACTGGATTCATGTTAGCCTTTGGGGTAAGGGCTGAGTCTTGATCCAGTAGTACAGGAAGGGGTCTGTCCATAGGGGTCATTGGCTGTGCGTGGCAGATGTTAGTGGGATTTCCCATGAACTGTGAAATATGAGGTTGCTGTTGGTTCTATTCCATATAAACTTGTTGTAAAGTGATAAACTAGCTCATCTTATACAGTACATCAAATATTTCAAAGACAGAATCTGTTCTTCCTTGCAGTTTCCTAAAACATTAATTGGAACAAAAGTTAACTGTGGGCTGGGCGTGGTGGCTCACACCTGTAATCTCAGCACTTTGGGAGGCTGAAGCAGGAGGGTCACCTGAGGTCAGGAGATCGAGACCAGCCTGACCAACATGGAGAAACCCTGTCTCTACTAAAAGTAGAAAAAAAAAAAAAAATTGGCTGGGTGTGGTGGCGCATGCCTGTAATCCCAGCTACTTGGGAGGCTGGGGCAGGCAGGAGAATTGCTTGAACCCAGGAGGCAGAGACTGCGGTGAGCCGAGATTGCGCCATTGCACTCAGATTGCGCCATTGCACTCCTGCCTGGGCAACAAGAACGAAACTTTGTCTCAAAAAAAAAAAAAAAAGTGAACTGTGGTTTATCTGATTGCTTTTTAAATGTCATTCTTTTAGGTTGCAGACAAAAATGTTACCTAGGTGCAATACATGATCACTTATATACTGAACGTATAATTTCTATATTTATCTTTTATGTAAATTATGATGTTATAAGATTTATTTAAACAGTTTTCTTCAAGAAGCTGGTTAGTGGCGAACGCCTGGACTTGGAAGCCAGGCTACATGAGTCTGAATTCTGGCTTTGCTATTTATTAGTTGGCCTTTGGACAAGTAACTGAATCTTTCTGTACAGCAGCTTTTTCCTCTGGAAAAAAAATGCTTACCTCAAAATTAGGTGTAAGGATTACATGAGTTATCACTTGTAATTTGTTTAGAACCATACGTAATATGCATTATTTAAGGGTTTATTACTATTATTTGTAAATATTACTGCCTATTTGTAACATTAGTTAAAACCCGAATAAGAAATAGACTATGGAGAGGGAAATAATAGTGTTCATTAAATGCTTACTTTAAGTTCTGTCTCCCCGTTTCACAGATGAGAAATGGAGGCTCAGAGGTGAAGTGACTTTTCCACAGTCACGTCAAATGTAAGGTTGGAGTCAAAATCTGAGTCTAAGTGATTGACTCCAGATTCTTGTCCTTATTGGTTATGCTATACTTCCTTGTAGCTAAAGGAAATGAATAAATTATAATAACAATTTCATTCTTTCATCTAAGGAAGACATGCAGAAAAATTCCTACGACAAATACATAGAAAGATAAAAGTTAGTCTTCTACTTTTAACTTCCTTCTGTACCGGAAAGTGAGAATGTCTTCAGCGTTGTAAATTTTCACTAGGCATCATGATTTTTTTTTAGATCGGCATAATTCCCTTCTCTCATGAAAAGTTCCTCAGATTCCTAGTTTGTGATACTGTTTGGCATCCTCCAGCACTCTTGCTGGTCATGAAAAGTGGAACTGGAATTGGAGGAGCATTTATTTTTTTCCTTTCTCCCACAAAAGTCATAGGAACATAAACTTTTTGGAATTCTGAAAGTCCTTTTTGAAAAGAAAAATAAACAGAAATGAAATCAAGTATGAATCACCTGTTTTGAGGTTTGGCGGAGGCTGATGTGGGCCCATGAATCACTCCTGTTGTGAATCTGGGTAAAGTTAGGCATATTTATGGCACCTAGTTTTACAGTAACCTCATTTAGAAATTGCTTTCCAGTTCATAAGGGCTTTTGCTTTGTAAATTGTCATAATTTTAATTTATTACGGAGAACAAAGTGTTAAACATAACCTCTAGGCACTGTTATTAGAATGAATGAATATTATTTTCAAATTGTTTATGTGCTATAAGAGATTCAATACATAAAGCTATAGTTATCTTGGACTTGTTATTAAGATTATTGCAGCTATTGAGGTTGTCTTCAATTCCCGTAGAAACTCTTTGGCTATGGGTTGAGAACAGATACATGAATGAAAAAATTTCATTTATCATTGTAATAAACCTGGAAAAGCTATAATTCTTAATCTTTTGTATTTAGTACTTTGCACAAATTTATAGCCTATTAAGTGAATTAGTTTTTCATATCACTTCTTTTCTCCTAACTTCATCAAAAGAAAGGAAAAAAAAATCTCTAAGTTTAGTTGTCTTAGAAGTTTATTTTAGAGCCAAAATCTAAACAGATAAATTAACTTACTGGAAGAAAAATAGGTGGGGAAGAGTAACAAGTCCTGCTTGGCATGGATGGGTAGAACATTTGTGCTGTTCTTTTCAAGAGATTGTGCAAGAATTGCTAAGTGTATAAATTCTTTGATGCTGCCAAGGTCAGGGAAAAATATGTACATCTGCAAATAAGTACTGGTTATCAAAGTTAAAGCAGCTTTGATGAGGGGGGAGGTAGAGGAGGCAGTGTTAGTAACTGCCACTGCTTATTTAGTGTAGTTCTGTTCTCTCTCATTCTCTCTCTTCCTCCCTCCCTCCCTGTTTTGTCTTCTTTTTCTTTTTTGAAAATGTCTTCATTTTCTTAAAGACATGTGTTCTCCTTGGCTACATTTATGTACCTGGCAGCATTCCAAAGTTGAACACCAAATGCTAAGAGGATGACTGCCAGCTTTGCTTTATTTTTATGATTCCACAGCATGGCCATTTTCATTGAAAGTACATTGTCATCTGAGCTTTCTACTCTATGCTCCTGCCGCGTATAGCCCGGACTCGCGAACTGTTTACACTGATTTTTTTCCATAGGTTGCTGCGTTGCACACTTGTGTCCTTTGTGCAGAAAGTTGAGCTTTAGGAATCCACAACTGTTTTTGGGATTTTCAAGCGCCATTGTTCTTTGGGGTTAACGGGGAAGAACTTTGCAACTGATCAGGGATTTTGCTCACCAACATATGCTGTGGTTGTAACGAAATTATCCTGTAGCTTCTAACAGCTTCTAGAATACAAATCAGGATGACAAAATGGAATGAACCAAATATTTAACAGAAGGTTGCATGACACTTTCAGAACATGGTATTCTAAACAAATTCCGTCGTCTCTCAGTACCTTGTTCTTGGTGCTGCATTTTTGGATCTTTTATATTAGTTCAAATTGGCTTTAAATGCAAATGATTAATCACAGAGGCACACAGTCTATTTTTTAGTTTTGTTTTGCAAAGACAGATTAAACTGCGATAATGATTACAGACTCCAGGCCTGCGTAGACTGATATGTTTAAGGTTGGATAAATCTTTCAGCCCTTAAATACTGGCCTGTTGCCTTGTTATGCTGTATGCGTCACAAACACACTATAAATAATAATTCAGTAGATTTATTGCCACTGTGATTTCCTGTAAATTTCTTTTTATCTTATTATGGAGTCACTTAGATTTTGTGAATGGCAGAGTCTGTTTGGTGTCCTAAGAACTCATCTTAAAGATATCAGTATAAAAATATTGACCTTTTTAAATAAAGAAGTCCCTTGTTTTTTCTGTAGGATAAGCCTGTATACTATTAAAACATTTTACTTTTTTCTTTTTAGGAGATATAGGTACTTTAGAAAGTATTAAAACAAAATTTAGATTTTGCACTTCAACATATAATTAATTTTAACATGTCTCGTTGAACATAATTTTGGGGAGAACAAGGGTTTGATTATAGAAAAAATCTTCCTCATTCATATATTATTTTTAGGTATTTGGAACACTTTATAAACTAGGCTTGATTAAGTGCTCCAGTTATTAAAATAATTTTGTGGATTGAGATTTTTTTATGTTTGCGTATATACTTTTCTATGAAGATACATCATTTTAAAACCAAGAATTCTTTCTGTAGTTACTTTTATTTTCTTCAACTCTCAGATATGCTTTGAATTACACTTTCCACCGATACCTCATTTTCTTCCATTTTTATTCATCTTCTGTTTGGTTAAACCATATAAAGTCTTAGAAGTCACGCAAACTGAATTAACCTTACTAGATTGGTTGAAAGTTTATCTTGATTATCTAATATAAAGTAACTAGCATAACTAGGAAAATAGAATTTCCTTAAATTCTGAATTTATAAAAAGCATGTGTTTCAGATGAATCATAAACTTTTAGGAGTACTACTGAAGATTACTTACTTAGCTTAAAGTTAGTTATTCTTGTGTCTCAGGTCTTCCCAGGCATGGCATCTAAGGTGGTGGTCTGGTATGATCAAAGAATACTTCCCTCTTCCCTATTCTGTCACTTATAGATGTAAATATAGTCAGTTCCTTTCTCTCTTGTTTTGTTTCTGGAATCTTCACATTTGATGATTATCACATGCTGGAGAAGTCATTTTTGAGGGTTCAGTATTGAGACATAATCTCAAAAATATTTGCTATGGCTTAGTTCATTAAGTAAGTTTTCCAATTTTTGTCTCATCTTTAGTCCGCAATTGTGACCAAGCATGTGTGTCTGTTACAAAGACCTGAGTTGGTGAAAAAGGAATGGTGTCTCCCCCTACCCGCCTCAGAGCTGATCATGCTCCCATTCACCATGTATTTATTGCAGTTGGAGGATAAAGAAGAGGGGAAAACAGGAAGATAATCCAAGAAGGATGGAAGAAGCTCTGTAGAGTCTTCCATTAATTCATATTTAGGAAAATGTAGTAAAAGTTCTTCAGGAAGTCCCTGTCCCCTGCCATTGCCTTGGCCATCTGTGTTATCCTTCCAAAACTGTCATCAGGTTCTAGAAAATTATTTTGGCTTCAAGCCTGACATCTCCATTAATATTTTCTTATATCCTTAGTATCTGTAGAAAAGTGCCAGCCTCCATTTCTTCTTTTGCATAGAGTATGGGGATCGTGTGATTGTTTAGACTTCTGTCAAGGTTACTTTGCCCTGACCATACTTTCTCCTCTTCCTGTCTCAGAGTCTGAACACTATGACCCTACCAGCTTTTCCTTCTTGGAAAGCACATCTCTGAGCCAGGGGTCTTCTTTCTCTTGTAGGTGTAACCTTAAAGTTTAGTCCTATTCATGACCCCCATTCTCATTGCCATGGAAAGATTTGTTGATTTCTTGGTGGTCCAGGTGCCGCATCTGAAAGTTGGAACATGGCAAATCTCTTTTTTTTTTTTTATAACAACTGCCCCTTCCCACCAAAACAAACAAGCAAATTTGAGGCCCAGGCAGGTGAATCACCTGTGGTCAGTAATTCAAGACCAGCCTGGCCAACATGCTGAAACCCTGTCTCTACTAAAAATATTTTTTAAAAATTAGCCGGGCATGGTGGTGGGCACCTGTAATCCCAGCTACTGGGGAGGGTGAGGCATGAGAATCACTTGAACCTGGAAGGCAAACATTCCAGTGAGCCAAGATCACACCACTGCACTCCAGCCTGGGTGACGGAGTGAGACTCCTTCTCAGAAATAAAATAATAAAATAAAATGTAAAAAATAATACAATAGATGAATTGTATTAATTTCATGACAGCCATGAATAGACACATGCATTTGTACATATATGTGTGTCAGTACGTGTTCTGTAACTTTTAGGTTTTCCTTTTATTCTTTTCTCTCTCATATTTAAAAACAAGGCTATATTTTACAATGTAATTATATACCTAAGTCAGTATCCTTCACAGTATGCTAAGATTATTTAGAAGTAATTTTATACTTCCATTTCTCATAGCACATTACCTCATCTATTGAGTTCTTGAAGTTATTACTTTAAGCTTATAGAAATTTAACACCTAAAAGCATGAGAAATAAAGAGCCTCACTTAATGTTTCTCTCTGATAATTATAAGGAGAGCTGAAGCAAGGAGAAAACCCACATGGTAAGCCAGAATGCCCTGCTGTGGAATTATTACTTGTCAGGAAAAAAAAAAATCGAGGATCTGATGTCATCTCTGGCTGATTTGTTCAATGACGCGTACTCGTTCACCAATGTGTGGATCGTACTGAAGAACATTGTTTACTCTTTTCAAGGTCTGATTTCCAGTCATGCTGCTTTCTGAACAGAATGTGTTTAAGGAGTAAAGTCTAGAAATCTCTAGGAAATATTTCTCTGTCAATTAGATTATTATTAACATCAGGGATCTGAACACGTGCATTTTGAAACCAATTCCCAGTGGATTCTCTATGACCTGGAAGAGCTCAAGGGGTCAGACTGGGTCATAAAAACCTTAGGTAAGAACCAGCTCCTAGGGAATTAGTAAACCAAGGCATGACTTACTTACATAACATCAGCCATTCGTGAACCTGGAGGAAGTATGTGTTCATAGAGGTGCAAAAGAAAGCCCTGTGTGAGCCGAGAGGAAGTGATGTGTTACTCTGAATAGTGAGCATAGATAGTTTTTGCACACTGATCGCAACATTGATGTAAAACAGTGGGGATGCACAATGTGTTTCTGGGATGGTAAATACCGGTAGGCTCAGATTCTGGGTTCATGGAGAAATGGATAGAAGAGATCGATGGATGGGTGCATGGAGTTTGGAAGCTTACAAGGGCACCAGGCCATGAAGGACCTCCAAGACAGGATATATATGAAGCAGTGTGCCGGAGGGGATGAAAGGCTTACAGCATACACAGAGGTCGAAGAGTTGGAAAATCAAGCATCGTAAAGGAATCATTTGATAAAAGGTGGTAAAATAGTGGACGCATGCTGACCATGTGCTAGCTACTCTAGTGAGTACTTTATTTGATCATTTGCACAACTCAGTGAGATGGATGATGTTAGTATCCCCGTTTAACAGATGATGAATGAAGACCTTGACAGATTAATTAATTGGCCTGAGTATATATCCTTATAAATATGTAGTATTTATTATATCAAATTGGTATTACTCTTGGGAATGTTTACGTGTTTGTTGGGCAACAAGAGACTTTTCAACAACAGTGATACCTGAGATCTGGTAGAAAAGGGGGTGGTGATTCTAGACCCTTAGTGCAAAGCCACTGACCATGACCATGGGCATGAGGCACTAAGTCTTCGCCCCTGAGCCAGGACTTTGGCAATACCTTGGAAGAGGGTTGCATCCCAAGAGCTGAGTTGGCCTCAGGCAGGGCCGCAACACTGACATCAAGAAATCAGGGGGTCATCTGTTTCGTATTGAGCATATATCAAGAAACAGAGGTGTTCAGTTAGTGAACCTACAGAAAGGTTATATAGGTGTTCATTGGACCATTCTTTTGCTTTTTCTACCGGTTTGGAACTTTTCAAAATTAATAGTGTGGTGCAGGAGGAAGTGGTAGAGTGGGTGGGAATGGACAGGGGCTAGGTCAAATAAAGGGCAGGAGTTCTGTGAGAGAGACCAGGACCCCAGAGCAGGGTTATTAAGGTTATGAGGTTGGTGCTTGGTTGACTGTGTAATCTACTGTGGCACGTGGAGAAGCAGTGCTTTCACTCATCCTAAGGCAGAGTGGAATTGTGGGAAGGGGAAGGGAGTTGTTGGAAGATTCCTTAGATGATGTCCTGCCTATCTGCCTCTTCAGAGATGTTTTGAGGGCCAAAGGGCAGGACTAAATCAGAGTTGGGAGGTAGAGGTTGATGCTTTCTATTGGCAAGGTTATTACAGAGTTTTGCAGTTTTAAAAAGATCTTTGTAAACTTTTACGACAGATAAAATACCACCATGTGCAATCACAATGTAAACAGGTTTTCTACTAGATGTCAATTGAAGGTCACAGGGTTTAGAGCTGCAGACAGCTGTTTATCTTAAGTCCCTGTTGTGGCTTTTTCTGTGAACTTATGTAAAGCCCTTTGAACCAGTGCCACTGACTAATAGACGTTTTCCCTTGCGCAGAAGTGGTCATTAGTGGTCATATAAGTTGAAAATCAGCCATTCTCTCTCTGCCTCAGGCCATTTGTTTGTGGGAGAGCAATCGTTGAAAGAAACTAGGTTATTTGGTTACCAAGAGACACTGCCCTTTACCATGAGTAATTACCCTCTTTTGGAAGAAGAATTGGTTAGTGTGTGTTAGACAATTCTGCAGGCAATGGGTCTTTGGGGAGATGTTTACAATATTCCTAGAAAAGAGGCCAAAACAATTTTACTAACATTTTTCATTGTTTCTGGCTCTTGCAATTAATACAAGAAGCATGAACATCCTGAAGCTGTGATCTATAAGGCAAACGAGATAAACTGTATAATAATGATGGTAGATTACACGTAGCCTGATTTCAAACCCAGATGTTTCAGCCCGGACATCTGTGTTTAGTCTTTTTTACTCAAAGCAGAAGAATAACTCTGGATTTAGGACTTGGAGGTGTCTACATTTTATTATGAAACTATTTCTCTGACCGTTTTGTGTGCGTGTGTATGTGAAAACTGCGTGGGAAACAGGCCAAAAATACACGGACTTCCTGACTCTGCTAGACTTTATTTGTACTAAGTTCTTGTCATGGGTTCTTACTGACTCATTCATTCATTTATTCATTCATTTTTTTTCACCAACATATGGAGTGCCTTTGCCAGGCAGTGGGCCAAATGTAGAACAAAATAACATGGTTCCTAGATTAAAATATTAAAGTATTGATGTACTCATGATGTGAAGTCCAGCATTACGAGTTCTGCAAAAGAGCTGAATACAAAAATGTGGTGGGTACACGGGGAGGCGACTGATTAATTCTACTGTTGGGAAGAAGAGGGAGCATTGCCAAGAAAGTCATATTTGAGCTGGATATTGAAGAATGAGTTGAAATGTTCTAGGAGAAGAAATTGGGAAGGAATGCGTCATCCGAGAGCTCATCCTGTGGAAGGGCAGAGAGGAGGGATGGAAAGCGATGAGTTCCATCTGCTGCGGCTGGTGGCTGGCTGAGTCCAGATAGGTACAGTGCAGCCAACTCCTGAAGGTGTCGATGTCAAAACAGAGAGAAACGATGTCACTGCACCTGTGCCCTCTTTTGGAAGAAGGCACAGGTTGAGGTGCAAAGGCACGATCTATCGCCCAGGCTGAAGTGCAAAGGCACGATCTCGGCTCCCTGTGACCTCCGCCTCCCAGGTTCAGGCGACTGTTGAGCCTCAGCCTCCTGAGTAACTGGGACTCCAGGCGTATGTCACCATGCCCAGCTAATTTTTGTTTTCTAATAGAGACAGTGTCTCACCATGTTGGCCAGGTACAGGTAGTATACCTGCAATATCGTGTTGCTTTTCTCAAGACCACTATTATGCCAGGGAAGTTGTTTATACATCTTTTGAAACACCTTATTTACATATACCAATTCTGAATAACCTGTACAGGAAGTAGTCTATCCCAGTAAACATCAAATAAGAGTGTATTTTTATAGCTTGCTCTATTAGTGTGGAACATTTTAAAGGGCAGTATGTTTATTAACAAATGCCACATGTCTTTTCATTTCCTTTGCAACTGACGTTAGATTGACCATAGATGTTTACATTTCTATGGTTTGAAGAGTTGTAAGTTTCTGGGTCCAAAATATTGTGTTCATGTTAGATTTTAGATCGAAAGTAGTCTATTAAGAAAGTTATTTAGCTTAAAAATCAGGCTGTAAATATCAATTGATCTTATATTCGTAATATATATGACTGTATATGTACAAGTATACATCTGTTTCCTTCTATGGATGTCTTTAGGTTTACATTTAGAATGAATCTAGATTACTTATGTAAACTAACGTTATTATTAAGGTCATAAGTATTTCTAGGATAAATGAACAGTGACAAATCTTAAAAATTAAGACACTTCAATCCTGATTCAATTAATAATAATTCAATTAATAATACAGATATTTATGAGGATTTTTTTTTTGAGACAGACTGTAGTTCTATCCCAGGCTGAAGTGCAGTGGCACAATCTTGGCACACTGTGACCTCTGCCTCCCAGGTTCAAGCGACTTTCATGCCTCAGCCTCCCGAGTAACTGGGACTACAGGCGTGTGTCACCATGTCCAGCTAATTTTTGTTGGCCAGGCTGGCCTCAAACCCCTGACCTCAGGTGATCTGCCCACCTCAGCCTCCCAAAGTGCTGGGATTACAGGCGTGAGCCACCGCACCTGGCCAAGTTTTTGTTTTAATCGCTAAACTCATAAATATTCCTAGATATGCTTAAGAGATTAGATACCCTTTATTATTTTGTGGATAGTTACTTGACCACCAGTTCTATTGGCTTGTGAAGTCTAGTCCAGGACAGAGGAGAGGAGAGTAAAAACCACTGAGGGCCCCAGGTGGCTCTAGAATGGAGACAGGAGAAAAGAACATCACACTCTGGGGACTGTTGTCGGGTAGGGGGAGCGGGGAGGGATAGCATTAGGAGATATACCTAATGCTAAATGACGAGTTAATGGGTGCAGCACACCAACATGGCACATGTATACATATGTAACAATCCTGCACGTTGTGCACGTGTACCCTAAAACTTAAAGTATAATAATAAAAAATAAATAAAATAAAAAAGAAATGCACAGAGGAGGGAGGTGCTTTCAGGCCCCTAAATCCCCTGAATCTCCAAGTCTTCCCGTTTCCTCTCCCGCTCATTGAGAATAAGACTGGAAATCCTGGAAAGCCCTGGGCTGGCCCTCCAGCCTCCCTTGCTACTCCACCTGCACCCTGTTCTTCAAGGTGAAGGTACCTAGAATAATTATTAGCTGCTTAAAAAAGAATGAAATCATGTCTTTCACAGCGACATGAGTGGAACTGGAGGGTATTATCCTGAGTGAACTAACTGAGAATCAGAAAATCAAACACTGCATGTTCTCACTTATAAGTGGGTGGGAGCTAAACAATGGGTACATATGGGCATAAAGATGGAAACAGTAGACACTGGGGCCTCCAAAAGGGGGAAGGGTGAGAGGGGAGGGGAGGGTCGACAAATTACTCATTGGGTACTGTGTTCACTATTGGGGTGATGAGTTCAGTAGAAACCCAAACCTTACCATCATGCAATATTCCCATGTAAGATACCTGCACAGATATTCCCTGAGTCTAAAATAAGATAAAAAACAATAAAGGATAAAGGCACAATGATACAGCCTCGGGGAGGAGGGCCAGTGAGGGGAAAATGTTCACCAGTTTCCCTCTTACTGGGCTATTCAACCTTGCATCTCATCTCAGAAATGCTCGCATCGACTGTGAAAAATTGTCTTTATTTTATTCGAGGCCCTGCAACTCAGTACCTGCATGATCGGGGGAAGTTTTATCAACTCCAAATCTCAGCTCCTCTGGAAAGTGAGGATAATAATACAGAATGGCGCAGGGGGTAGCCGTTGGGGGGAGAAGTAGTTCAGCTTGCTCATAATCTCTATCATCACAAACAAATCTATAGTTTAAGGAAAACCAGAACATTCTCCAGGTAAGTGTAAATGCAGCTTTAAGACACGTGTCATATATTCAAGCAATTTTACAGCCCCAGTGAAAACCCTGTGTTTACTACACCAGTGAAGCTTCTCAGTAAGTTCCCCGAGGTCACCCCCGACCCCAACCCCATTGCAAGCAGTTTGTTGCCTTGAAACCCCTTTGGTGTGGAAATTCTGGTGAAGCCACTTAGGATAGAAACCTCTCTATCTTAATGAGTAATCATGCAGACATTCTATATTCCCTATTGCTGGGTTTTAAAAAAATTGTTGTTTGTTTGCATTTTTTGTTCCCTTTTTACTTCTCCTGCAAAAGCAAACACTGCTGGACATGATGGCTCATGCCTGTAATCATAGCAACTTGGGAGGTTGAGGCAGGAGGATCCCTTGAGCCCAGGAGTTCAAGGCTGCAGTGAGCTATGATCAAACCTGGGCAACAGAGCAAGACCCTGTCTCTAAAAATATAACTAAAAGAAAGCAAGCTTGGGAGGCTGTTAATGAGGCTGGAAGGACTGCTGCTGAATAAACCAACTAGTAGGAGAAGAATTCTTAATCACCAGATAACTAAGTAATTTTCCCCCCAAAATTGATTGAGCCAGTATCTTACTTAAAGAGCCTTCATTCTGCAAAAACAGATGATTTCTTGATATCTTCATCTAGATTTACATCTTTCTTCCTTCTTTGTGTGTGTGTGTGTGTGTGTGAGTGTGTGTGTTTTGTTGCTGTTGTTGTTTTATGGAGTAAGGAGCTAAATTTTGAATATATGAAGCACCTCACACTGCCACTTTTTTGTTCTCTGCTCTCAGGAGCTAAACATCCATTTTGTCCATTAAATTTTCCACATTTTACTGAAACATTTGAAAACCAAGCTCTAGGCTCTTTTTATCAATGGTTATTTTTCTTCTGATGCCGTGTGATCCTGGAAGATGGATTTAGGGCATGTAATGGAAAATTAGCTAGATTATAGAACTCTGTTTTGAAAAGCAAATGTATTATTTTCCCAAATACAAGCTCCTTGTGAATGATTTTTAACTGTGGTTCCTTGACATAGGCCAATGATGTTGATTTGATTAAGGCTTGTGTTTCCCTGCAAAGACCTTATAAAATCTACTTGATCTTGGAACTTTTTAATACAGTCTAACAGCCAAGAAATTTTTAAAACAACTGTTTTCTTCTGTTTAGTTCATTTATAATCCTCATCTTATTAAGTATACATAATAAATGGTGGCTAGCTACTAGCCTAAATAACCTTATTATACTAATAATAGCTGTAATAGCATACAATTACAAAGAAAATCGAGCATGATCATACTGTTGCATTGGTGGTAATTTAAAAAGAAACTGATTCTTCTTTTTTATTATATTTTTGGCATATATATTTTTAAAAAAAATAAGTTTAATTTAAAGATGATCAGAAGTCAATGGTATAGCTGTGGTTTGGTAGGGCTAGAAAAGTCTTGTGTACAATGAGTAATTCTTTTGTTCAGGAAAGAATTTACATGTTTACCAGATGATTTAACTTAAAATATATGCTACTCTCATTCTTGTTTTATGTTTACAAATAGGTTTCTTCTGATTACAAAAGGCATATAATACTCCCTTGAAAATAACCCAGAAAATAAAGATTGCCCATTACCTCACAACCCAGATCTATTTACATTTTAAAATAAAATGTAGAAAATTAGTGATAACAGGCATAATTGTACGGGAAAAATATTGCTCTCTGAATAAAGTCATCTGAGTTCAACCTCAATTTAGAGTACTTTGCCCATTCACTTTTAGGCTTTTGACCAAATGCTTATATTTTGTAAGGTAGGTGTTTCATACTAGGTAGCGGAGATTAACACTTTATTGGGAACTCATACTTCTTGGGTCACAGTGTCTTCTTGCTTGTCACTTGTAGTTACAGAACCAATCTTCCCACTTTTTCACATCCTTCCCCCAGAATTTCCCTATGCTGATCGTCTAAAAGAGGGAAAACAGGGTACATCAGTTAGAATTCTCTGTTGCAGGAGACCACAAACATGACTCAGGCTGGCTTTAAAGCAACAAGGACATTTATGGACTCATGTAACTGCAGAGCCCAGTTGTCAATAGCTCATTGATGTCATTGGGCAGCTGATGTCTTTCCATCTCTGGCCTCTACTGTCTTCCATGTTGGTTTCATTCTCAGCTCTAGGTGATGACAAGATGGCTCCCAACAGCTTTAGGCCCACTTTCTTCCTGGTTCATACTGCAGTGCACCTCATTGGCTCTGGTTGGATGATGGCATGTCCATGAACTAATCACTGAGGCTGGGGATCTGTGACCCACTGATGGGCCTGGCCCAAGCCATAAGTTCACTTTAGAGGTGGGAGAAAAATCAACTCCACACAAGGCTAAGAATGAGGAGGGGTGTTCCTTCTCAGAGGGCTATTTCTGGAGGAGGAATGAATGGATGTAGGATGGTAACAAAAAGAACTGAGGTCCACTTTACAGAATGAATGAATGAAGTTGACCTGAGAGCTCTCAGATTCCTACAGATGGCTTAAGAAAATGCCAGACTCCAGGGAAAGGTGAAAGAATAAGTCCTTGCCATCCCTCCAGCCTTTTTCAAACTATAGTGCACCCTTTTCTATTTAGTAGAAGTGGATTCCTGATGGCATTGAGAGTGAGTCTGTGAAAATATATCTTCCTGGGAATATACGTGTAAATATACTGGCATCAGAACATGCATTCAGAGTCATGTGTACTGCCTCTATATTTTTAAAATTTTCAATTCTTAGTCTTCGTGATAAAACCACGCCCCACTGCCATTAAAAATTAGAATGTTGGTGGGTTGTGTGTTTGTGTGTTGAAAAACCCTTGTGAGGACAAGAAGACTAACTAAATCAAATTTTTATAGTCTTAATGACATTTGAGCAGCACTGACGTGCTAGAGGGAAAACAGTTATGTTGGTTTTAGAAACCAATACGTTGTATTCTTGACAATGCTCTTTTAAGCTTGATTATAGTATTGTCACATTTTACCACAATACTAGACATCTTAGAGAAATTTAATAACATGTTTGGGAATCTTACTAATTGGGGGAAATTAACATATTAAGATTTTCCATATATTTTTTAAAGTAATGATAATTCTTGCATGGAATCTTAATTCAATGGAAGAGAAGATTCATTTACCGCCTTGCAAGGTGCTCAAGACCGTGTGTGCTCTATTTGGTACCGCTGGCTGCATCATTAAACGCACACTCTGCCTACCTGCAGAGAAAATCGCTGTTCTTGTTGTTTTTAGATCTTTGTAGTCATAATTGTCCATTATGTTTAACAGCACTGGAGATTTTGCAAGTGGAATTGGGTAGATCTGTTAAGGACATTCAGTCCTGTCTTCTGCCAGGCATTAGGGTCTCTTCTAGCATGTTTCACTCAATTTCTCCAGCCAAGAAATGTAGGGTTATTCTTTGGAAAGGGGATTGTGATAAGTTAGGATATTTTGGTTGTAAGCTTCAGAATCCCATTTCAAAGTTGCATAGGCAACAAGAGATATGTTGCCACCCATAACTGTAACAGTCAGGGGTATTCCTGGGCTGGGGGCAGGATGCTGCCTGGACTGTGTCTCCCCCGCATGGGTATTTGATTCTCTATAACCCAAACCAGATTTCCCCATGCAGGCAGCAACATGGCAGTTGGAAGCTCCAGGCTCCCTTCTTCCCGGCTTTGATAGCAGAAAAAAAAAAAAAAAAAAAAAAAAAAAAGGCTATTTGTTCTTCTTCATCCTTCTTAATTCCAGTTTAAAAAAAAAAAAAAAAGGAAGGACTCTTATTTGACTCACTTAGTTTACACACCACCGTTCACACACCACCGTTTGGACTCATCTGTTTGGACAAGGATGAAGCACTCTGATGAACCAGTTGGGATCAAGTACCATCAGAGTTGGCAGCAGGGCACAATTCTGAGTTTAATGCAGAAAGGAGGGTGGGAATTGTTACCCGGAGAAGTCAAATACAATAAATAAAGATGTTGGGCAAGCAGATTATTAGTGGCAATAACACACTTCTGTTATTACATCAATGCTTACATCAGTGTCTGCCCCTCACCTCCCACCCCACTATGTGCAGAGCAAAAGCTGACATTTCATAAATACTCTGTTTCTTCTCTGTGGAGCTAACTGATCCTCCTTTAGGCATATATCTAGATGAATAGTAGAGGAAACTAAGAAGGTAGAAAGTCTAGGACCGTGCGGGATTACAAAACCAGGATCTTGGCATGTTTCAAGGGCAAAAAGTGGTGGGGCACAGTGTCCCAGGCCTGTAATCCCAGCACTTTGGGAGACTGAGGTGGGAGAATCACTTGAGGTCAGGAGTTCGAGACCAGCCTGGCCAACATGGCAAAACCCCGTCTCTACTGAAAATACAAAAAATTAGCCGAGTGTAGTGGCAAGTGCCTGTAGTCCCAGCTACTCAGGAGGCTGAGGTGGGAGGATCACTTGGACTGGGGAAGTGGAGGTTGCAGTGAGCCAAGATCATGCCACTGCACTCCAGCCTGGGCGACACAGCAAGACTCCTTCTCAAAAGAGGCAAAAAGCTAGCACTTCCATCTGGAGAGTTGATTGGAAATGTTTTTCTCTTCTCTTGAATCTTCACTGTTTCCCTGAGATGCCATTTGATTGTGTTTTCTAGTTTTCCACGCATTGTTTTTTTGTAATTTTTTTTCAAACTGTACAATATCCCTGAGAGTAGGGAAGAAAGAGATGTTCAGAGTTGAAGGTGTCAGAGCTAGGAAGTGGCAGAGACTGGATGTGAAACCCTTGTCCTGTGCCCATTAGCCCACTCCAGGCTGCCCTTGCTATCCAGGTTTTATTAATTTTAGTGTCATCAGCCTTCACTGCGAAAAGCCTACACCTATTTTACTTTATTTTCAGTGGATGGTGTAGCTAATGGACAAGTATAAGACTAGCATGTCTGTGTTTGTCCTGCATGTAATGACCAGAATTCCCTAGTCATTATGAACACCAACTCCAAGCCTGAATTCTTATCCACGCTCCTGAACTCTTTAGTCATCACACATTGGGCAAGTTACTTAACCCTTGCGAGTTTCAATTCATCTTCAAATAGGGAAAATAATAAGGCCTTTTTTTTTTTTTTTAAATGGAGTTTTACTCTGACACCCAGGCTGGAGTGCAGTGGCACGATCTCAGCGCACTGCAACCTACACCTCCCAGGTTCAAGTGATTCTCCTGCCTCAGCCTACCGAGTAGCTGGGATTACAGGAGTGCACAACCATGACTGGCTAATTTTGTGTTTTTAGTAGAGATGGGGTTTCACCATGTTGGCCAGACTGATCTAGACCTCCTGATTTCAAGAGATCCACCTGCCTCAGCCTGCCAAAGTGCTGGGATTATAGGCATGAGCCATTGCACCTGGCCATAAGGCCTATCTTATAAAGCTATTTTGAGAAATGAAAGAGATGATGGAGATGAAATAAGGATAACTTATTAAATACTCTTTAATGGGATTCTGACACTTACAACCAAAATGTCTTAACTTGTCATAATTGCCTTTCCAAAGGCCATTTGTACATTACCTAGTGCATGGTAAACTCTATACATGTTGGCTCAAATGGTACTAATAAAACATCCAGGCCGGTGGCTTATGTTAGGATGGTGTATATACTTCCAGGAAAACCACAGGTGAGAGATGTATTCCTGGTTGAGAGATTTTGGAACCTTTTAGGAATGAGGTTCCTGAGAGCTGAGGCTGTAAGAACTTTGAGTATAGTTTTGACTTGTTTGAGGGTGGGTTTAGGGTTCCTTACAATATCAAGTTTGTGGTTTAATTTTTTTTGCTCTTGGAATTAGCATTATATAATGAATCACTGTGGGTTCTGAATATAGAGAGACATTTCTACTTCTTCTAACCTTTTAGTATGATATGTTTTCTAAGCCTAAAAGGCCCAGGACATTGTATGTTTTGTTGATATTAAGTTTGTATCTGGTGGTAGGGCTGTGTCTGTTATATTTTTGCAGGTTTTTAAAATGCTTGGCCATTTAGAAACTTTTAAATGTTTAGATTTTACGTTTCTATAAAAGTGCCACAAATACTCCTGCAAATTAGTAAGTTCAGGGAAACTGGTGGTAAAATGTTGGTGAGTCTCAGATGGCCTTTATTAAATTAGTACTTTATTGGTACAACTCTAGTAACAAAAACTTATAGAGAGTGAAAAAGAGGATTCATTCTGTAAGAGGTAATAGAAACAGACTGTTCTCTAATATTTCCTTTTAAATAATTTGTAAAAATTTTCTTGTCTTTGCTTAATCTTACCATTGTTTGAAAGAAGTGAAAACTTAGCACCTTTGAAGATGGGAGTTTGAGACATTTCCTTCTTTCCTTACCTCCCTCCCTCCCTCCTTCTTTCCCTTCCTTTCTCCTTCCCCTTCCCCTTCCTTCTCCCCTCCCCTTCCCTTCCCTCCCTCCCTCTCCCTCTCTCTCTTTCTCTCTTTTCCTTCCTTCCTTCCCTCCCTCCCTCCCCCCTCTTTTCTTTTCTTTCTTTCTTTTTTTCCTTCCTTCCTTTTTCTTTCTTTCTCTTTTTCTTTTCTTTCTTTCTCTCTTTCTTTCCTTCTTTCCTTCTTTCTTGAGTTTTGCTCTTGCCGCCCAGGCTGGAGTGCAATGACACAATCTTGGCTCACTGCAACTTCTGCCTTCAGGGTTCAAGCAATTCTCCTCCCTCAGCCTCCTGAGTAGCTGGGATTACAGGTGCCTGCCCCCATGCCCAGCTAATTTTTGTATTTTTAGTAGAGACGGGGTTTCACCATGTTGGCCCTGCTGGTCTCGAACTCCTGACCTCAAGTGATCCACCCGCCTTGGCCTCCCAAAGTGCTGAGATTACAGGCGTAAGCCACCATGCCGGGCCAAGACATTTTATTTCTGACTTGAGATTTGTTCTGTTCTGCTTGATTCAAGTATTACAGACAAGTATGTGTGCCAGATGTCTGTTCTAACATGAGTTCAAATTTAAATACAATTCAGATTTCTAGAGTATTACCTTTACAGTTTTCCCTCAACTAAAAAAAATGTTTAAAATACTAATTCATTGGAAAGAATTGAAACTTAACTTTTCACTTTGGTTTTCAGACAGAAAAATTTAGAAACACAAAATTGAAGAGGATTATAGCAGCACTAACATAACAATCATTTATAAATAGATAAATAAAATAACACTTAAATCTGTTCTGTTAGCCACTTTCAACCAGAGATTAACAAGACTATTTCATGTGGCTGACGAGAATTGACCTCTCTATGGTCTTGTTTAAAAGTCTTCTTAAATAGACGTATAGAATCTTAGGATATTCCAGGTTTCTTAATGTTAGAAACAATATAATTATGTTGGTTACTGTCAAAACTTGCAGTGTTGTTTGAAATATGTATTTACAGCAACAGATAGTCATTGCGTCTTTCGTTGTCCACACTGGTACCAGTTTGGTACTGAGGCATCTGACTAAAGACCTCAGAGAAGCACCAGAAAATGGAAAAGAAAGATCTGCCCCCAAATACGCAGCTGGCCACCTTTTTGCTACTAGTTTACTTTGTCGCATATAAAATAACGAAGACAGATGCATGTCAAAGGATGTGCGTATTGGGTCAGAATAAAAACATGCACAATTTTTTTTATGAGGAACACTCGTTTTATGAAAGTTCACAGGCTCTTATTCACTTAAGTCTTTAGAAATTTGTGTCTCTTTGTCTTTCACACACACACCCACTGCCAGGGATACAGGGCTCCAGTCTTCCGGCTTCTTGATGAATTTTTTTTAAGTACTTCTTTGAGATGGAGTCTCACTCTGCCGCCCAGGCTGGAGAGCAATGGTGCAATCTCGGCTCACTGTAACCTCTGTTTCCCAGGTTCAAGCTATTCTCCTGCCTCAGCCTCCTGAATAGCTGGGATTACACGTGCCTGCCACCATGCCCTGCTAATTTTTGTATTTTTCGTAGAGATGGGGTTTCACCACATTGGTCAGGCTGGTCTCAAACTCCTGACCTCAAGTGATCTGCCCGCTTCAGCCTCCCAAAGTGCTGGGATTACAGGCATGAGCCGCTGCACCCGGCCTCTGGCTTTTTAGGTTCAGAACATTTTCCCCTAGAATTACTGTGGTGGTCAATAGAAAGAAAGCCCATTATACGTATTTATGGTAGGAACCTGAGAGCAGTGAGTACTTGTTCGTGTGTGAAAGACACCTACAGCATGTTGTAACTAGACTGAATTCTGAATGCAGCCTGTTATACATGAGAATATTTCATTCCTAGTATCATTTCTAGTATGCCAAAGACAGTGGTGCGCTTCCATTCATGACCACATAGTGCTCACCACACAATTGTACCAGTGCATATTTGGCTTTGTACAAACAGGATTAGGACAAGAAAATTACCAGTTATTGCGGGGGTCAGTAACCCACCAATATAAAATAGAAGACACTGATGATGGTGAACAGTATTATGAAAGAGAGACAGTCTCTGATTCCAGGAAGTTTACTGTTTTAATGAGGAGGTAAAATGTGCACATGATGTATTTAAAAGAAGAAAATGGGAAGGCTTTAAATAGGGAAATAGAGAAAGTGCTCTAGGAGTTTAGTGTAGGAACATATTGTTCTTACTAGGGAATCACAAAAGCATTGCAGAAGAAATTAAATGTGAACCTCCAACAGTGGGGATGGGAAAGATGGGTGTTCTAGGAGTGGAGACCAGGGTAAGTGAAGCTACAGAAGAGGGAAAGTCACAATTCCTATAGTTGAGCAATATTTTTCCTGGCATTGAAGGAACATTGAAAGTGATTGGAAGGTAAGTCTGTGAAGGTGGGTTGTAGCAAATGGTGGAGATCTAGAATGCCAAATGGAGGTTAGCATTTACAGGGTGCAAGTCAAATGGTCTCCACGTACCAGCTTCCATGTGAGGACCACCATAGAGGTGCTAGCCTATGGGCAGCCATGTTTCAGAGAATGCTGGGTGGGCAGGCATGGTTCAGTTGAAGAGGTGAAGGATGTGGGGATAGTAGTTCACTGCAGTTCGGTGTTTCAGGGGACATTGAGAAGGTATGCGGGGAATGAGTGAAGATAAGGAAGAGATGAGTGGGACTTTTGGTTAGGGGTACAGAATTCCAGAACTTGTTAGTGATGGCAGTGAGAAAGCGTATAGAGGTGAGGGAGGGAGGTACCCTCCACATTTTAGGTAGTGACTGAGGGAAAGTGTTGTTTTCACTGTGTAGCCTCAACCCTAAACCCTAAGGCTGGGGTTTAGGTTGCAAAGACATTTAGCAAGGAGAACATACAGAAGCAGAAGTGCCTGTTAGAGTCCTACAGATCACCCATCAAATCATGTGCATATACATGTAGTAAACCAAAAAGTGACTGAAGCAGATCTCAATCCATCAGAAGTGTATTTTACCATAGTTGAAGATGCACCTGAGAAAAACAAACACGTGCCTCAGTAGGATCTGCAACCTATGCTTTATCCACAGAGGGTTTTGGGATGTTCAGTATTTAACCAAGAAAGAGGCTGGGCACAGTGGCTCATGCCTATAATCCCAGCACTTTGGGAGGCCAAAGTGGGTGGATCACTTGAGGTGAGGGGTTTGAGACCAGCCTGGCCAACGTGGTGAAACCCCGTCTCTATTAAAAATGCAAAAAAAAAAAAAAAAATAGCTGGGTGTGGTGGCAGGCACCTGTAATCCCAGCTCTTGAGCTGAGATCACGCCACGGCACTCCAGCCTGGAAGACACAGCAAGACTCCATCTCAAAAAAAAAAAGAAGAAGAAGAAGAAAGAAAGAAAGAGCAAGCATTTGGGGAAGAAAAAGAAAAGGAGGACAGGCAGGCAGTGAGGCAAGCGGCTCCATCTTGGTAGGCTCTGATTAGCACTCAGTGAATCTACATGTTACATGTGCAAAGAAGAGTACAGGAAAAGCCAATTTTGCATTCTTCTCTTGCTTGGTTAATCTACATTTTAACATGTTACATAAGATAAAGTAAGCATGTGGAATTACAGCTATTTGGGAACAAAAAGGAAGGCAGTTTTTGTGTGACTCAGTTTCTAAGCTTAACTTTCCATTTGGCATAGTGAGTTTGGGGTGCCAAGATTCTATTTTCCTTTCACAGTATATACGTAGGTATTCAAGAGGCATATCATATGCATTTTGCAGCTAGACTCCCATCCACTGGCACAGTGACCATCCTGGGAGAAGATACAGGCATGAAGCTGATTGCAGAATAGTGGTGTCTCCTCTCATATCTCGGTTTTGCATTGGGATGCATACTTCCTGAAGTTCTCCTTTTCTTGGCGGTTGCTACTGAGGATATAGAGTTGAATTCGGGTAATGTAGACTGGAGTATGATGCGACTTTATCATTATCTCCTTAAGTCATAAGCCTGTAGGGATTGGGGACTTTACCGTTGAAATGAGCCTTTTCTTTTTCTGTGTTTTAGTGATGTTTGCTGCCAGAGATCTTCAGAGAGATTTAAAAGTCATTTTAAATGGCACTTTTAGCATTAACTCTACCTATTAGGCTTTGTTAGAGCCTAATCTTCTCAGATTCCTTCTCATTCAAGAAATGTTGATTAAATATCTGAATTGTGCATGTATATCATAATTTAAATACATGGTAAATACTGAAAATCATACAGAGATTAATCAGATAGAGGTCCTGTTCTCAAGGATCCAGTTGACCCACAGATTTCTTCTTTTTTGATTCCTTTTATTTTTATTATTTTTTTTAGCTTAGAGAAAGGTCACACAAAGATAGTGATTTGGGAGAAGGTTCTTTTCCCTATTTGCTTGTTTCATTTAGCATGGGTGATAGAAACATCTTTGGGTAAAAGCAAACATCTGGCAAGGGTGCCTCTTAGATGGAAGGTTGAGCAGATATTCGGTGAAATATGAATCAGTGTTCCTGCTTTTGCTACGTTCAATTCTGAAGTTTGTGTTGCCATGGGGATGGAGACTGCCAGGAGAGCTGCCATTAGCAAGTTTGTTTGAAACTCTGTGAACCCTTGAGCCCCAGGGAAGAGAGGTTGGATAGGTCTGGTAATAGACCCCTGGGAGATGCTTGGGCATTTCTGCTGCCAAACCTTGTAGGGACAGGGTGGAGGTTGAGGATAGCTGAAACATAGAGCAGAAGTTGGGTCTATAGAAAGCACTTGAGACTCTTTTTTTAAAGAGGCAGAAACCTTCCAGCAGGTCTGTGCTCTGGGTGAGATATTCACATAAACAAATTAGAATTTTCTAGGCCTTACTGCGGAACAGGCTTTTACCAGTTGAGTAACCACAAACGCTTTTATTGCAATGTAAACTAAACACTATAAAATAAATGTCAATAACTTTAATTTTTTTCTACTTTTTTTAGCAAAAGGAATAACCCTTTAGCAGAAGACTAGTAAACATATATGAGGAAGTCTGGACAGAAAAAGAAAGGGTTTATAAATAGCAGACATAGCAGCCCTTGCTATCTGAGAAATTGTTGTAGGGAGGTGATAGCTTTCCTAAGACCACTAATAAAGGTCTTCCGTGCCTCTGGGTAAAAGGGACAGTGAGTCAGTTACCCTGCTCTTGTTCCTGTTTTTCTCCCTGCATCCCACCCCAACCATTATGTTCTTTCCATTTAGTCTGTAACTTACCTGGTCATTGCTGAATAAAACTTTGATTTTTGTGGTCAGGTTCAGTTTTTTGGAACCAAATGATTCTGAAAGTGCTATAGTAATACATGCATGTTTATCTTTTCATTAAATTTTTTAGGATCTTCGGGTAAAGATAAGCTCAAATCAGCAGATTTTTTTTTTTTTTAATTCAGGGATTTCTTCCAAGTGCTTAATTTAGCACTGTGTGCTTTAGTTTGGTGTTTAACTTTTTGTATGATGCCTGATTGCATACCGGTTCTTTCCTTTTGCTTGTGAGTAAACACGTGCATGCCAATATTTAAAATCTGCTTTAAACAGAAAGAATAATATTAAAACTCTTTCAGTTCAGACAAGTCACTCAAACTAAATTTCCTCTCCAGTAGTCTAAGTTGTGAATTTTACCTTTCCCTTACTAGCAGAATTCCACTTGTAGCTCACTGGTGACAGAGGGGCGTGTTATTTTTCATAGTATTCTCCTTGGTATAGATGAGGCTTGCAAAAAGGACGTGTCCTGAAGATTCCATTCCTGTGCTTATATGCACTAGTTGGCATGACTACAGGTCTGCTTCCTCTGCTGGCTGGAGCTGGGGCTATTTATAGTTTCTCTTCTTGGCTTCTGATTTAGCGTATCAGCGTGTATTTATGCAAGGGAGAACTCCGAGGCCATATAAGACTGTAGTTTAGAAACCTACTAGCCTCATTTGCCTTTTGCTCTCTGGAGGGAGAGGAATGATCTTATATTTTGCCAACATAGAACTGTAGCAGGCTGGAGGGGAATGACATACCGCACATCACTCTGGCTTCTCTGCAACAGACAGAGGGGTGGTCTAAGAGCCTGTGATGGGGCCATCTTCCCAGATGGAAAGACTATTCGATCCATTGCACTAGATGAAATGTTTAACTCCTTTAATAAGTAGGCAGTACTTCAAATCTCCTTGTCTTTTTCTTTTACGTCAGGCAGGATGATATAATGGGAGAATGTGGACTGGGTAAGGCTGCCTTTTTTTTTTTTTAAGGCTGCCTTTTAACCTTGGGTCTTACGGTCACAAATCCTGTTGCGTCGCAGAGGTCAACCTCCCTGATCTTCACTGTCTTCATCTGCAAAATGGGAAAATTGTATCCCTCCCTCATGGGGCAGTTACGAGGATTAGGGACAGTGTAAACCACACATCAATGTCTGGCACAGAGCAGATGCTGAGAAAATCCTGAAAACTCAGTCAAAGAAATAGAAGAGGCCAGGCGCGGTGGCTCACTCCTGTAATCCTAGCACTTTGGGAGGCACGGGCCGGCGGATCACGAGGTCAGGAGATCGAGACCATCCTGGCTAACATAGTGAAACCCCATCTCTACTAAAAATACAAAAAATTAGCTGTGCATGGTGGCACATGCCTGTAATCCCAGCTACTCAGGAGGCTGAGACAGGAACATCGCTTGAACCCGGGAGATGGAGGTTGCAGTGAGCCGAGATCACACCACTGCACTCCAGCCTGGGCAACAGAGCGAGACTCCATCTCAAAAAACAAAACAAAACAAAACAAAAAAAGAAATATAAGAAAATGGAGCAGAGGCTATTTTCCCCTCAAGGATTTACATTGAGGCTTTTAGCCAAAATAGAAAAAAAAAAAAAAAAAGAGGTCAAGCATATCTTGAGAGGGTCCATTTCTCCTTCCCTTTTCTTCTGTCTCTGTCCTTGGTATCCATTGACCCAGGGTCACCTTGCCCTCTAGAACTGTGCATCTGAGTACATGCAAGCACTGGAATGACCTTACCTAGATCCCTACTTTCTCCCATGAAACTTCCCTCTTAGCAAAAGCTAGTCCACCCTCACACTGCAAATTTTAAGACATTCTCACAAATCAATAAGCTGAATCTTATTTTTCTTTCTTTCTTCCCATTGACTTAAGTTTTTCACAAGAAGCTCAATCTTAATAGTGAGAAGATGCAAGACTGTAGCCCTGGTTAAACCTCTCTGCCCGTAAGGAACTTGGTACCCTTCCTTATAGAAGTCTGCTAAAGTTAGCCCTTTGAGAAAATTACCTATTTGCAGTACTCTTTTGCCATTTTTTGAAAAAATGGCCGGTAGTCAGAGTTTTGAAATTTGAGGATAACTTTTTTATTTTATTTTATTTTATTTTATTTTATTTTATTTTATTTTATTTTATTTTATTTTATTTTATTTTTGAGACAGGGTCTCACTCTGTCACCCAGGATGGAGTGCAGTGGTTCAGTCATAGTTCACTGCAGCCTGGAACTCCTGGGCTCAGGCGATCCTCCCACGTCAGTCTCCCATGCAGCTGTAACTATGGGCGCATGCAACTATATCCTGCTAATTTTTGTATTTTTTTTTTTTTACAGAGATGGAGTCTTGACATGTTATCCAGGCTAACCTTGAATTCCTGGCCTCCAGCAATTCTCCCATGTTGGCCTCCCAAAGTTCTGAGATTACAGGCGTGATCCACTGTGCCCGGCCTTGAGGTCAACTTTAAACAGCTTCCAAACAAATCCTCAGAAAAATTAGTGACCCTGTGGGGTTCTCCTAGTACGTGGCTTGTCTGTGTTGTGTGGGCTGATTTTGGTACCAAAGAATAGGTCTGCAGGGCAGTGAAAGACTATGAATCTGAGGAGGACCTTCCTGGGTCACTGGCAGAAACAGCCTCCCTTGAGCATACCCTAAGCCACCTTCCCTTTGGCCCAATTATGTCTGGGGTGTTTATCAATTTTGAAGTAAGGGCCGGGTACAGTCGCTCATGCCTGTAATAGCAGCACTTTGGGAGGTTGAGGCGGGCATCCACCTGAGGTCAAGAGTTTGAGACCAGTGAGCCGAGATTGCACCATTGTACTCCAGCCTGGGCAACAGAGCAAGACTCCACCTCAAAAAAAAATTTTTTTTTGAAATAAGGTAGAAGGGGTAAAAATGTAAAATATAAAAACGTAGGTAACATTTTATAGCAATCCGAAAACTTTGAGTTCAATAATAATTCATTATGTTGCAATTTTTGTAAGCACAAAAGTAACACATGCCTGTAATAGAAAATTTGAAAAAGGAAAAGCATTTCAGGAAGAAGATTAAAAAAAAAAAAATCACCCAGGCAGGAGGTGGTGGCTCACACCTGTAATCCCAGCACTTTGGGAGGCAGAGGTGGGCAGATTGCCTGAGCTCAGGAGTTTGAGACCAGCCTGGGCAACGTGGTAAAACCCCGTCTCTACTAAAATACAAAAGATTAGCCAGGCGTGGTGGCGTGCACCTGTAATCCCTGCTACTCGGGAGGCTGAGGCAGGAGAATTGCTGGAACCAGGGAGCCAGAGGTTGCAGTGAGCCAAGATCGCACCACTGTACTCCAGCCTAGGTGACAGAATGAGACTCTGTCTCAAAAAAAAAAAAAACAAAAACCCATAATTTCCTTCACCTGAAGCGTTAACATTATTAATATCTTGGGGTCTTTTTACCCAAATCCTTTTATCTCAATCTCTTACACTCATGCATATGTAATTATTACATACATATACAATAGCTGAGAAAATAGTATACAAATTGAATTGTAACATCTTTTTTTTTTTAATTAGGAGAAGCAGAGGGGCATTGTGGTTGAGAGATTATTTGTGCAGCTGGGCAGACCTGTTGGAATCCTCATTTTGCAGCCAAGTATTATTTGATAGTGGTGGTAACTTTTCAAGGCTCTTCTTTCTCATCTGTAAAACGCAGATCCCAGTATCAACCCACACACCAGGATTAAATGAGATATTATATGTGAAGTGCTTAGGACCATGTCTGCCATATAGTCTGAGTTCTCTAAATTATAGCTGAAGCAGACAGCTATCATCAGGCTTTTCTGCCTCTGTAACATTTGTTTTCTGTCCTCTCCTTCTGCCTGTTCTTTTTTATTATTTTTTTTCATTAAAAAACTCCTGCTGGTCATTTAAAGTCTGCTTCACATTTTGCCACTGTATTAGTCCATCCTCACACTGCAAATAAAGACATACTCGAGACTGGGTAATTTATAAAGGAAAGAGGTTTAATTGACTCCCAGTTCCACATGGCTGGGGAGGCCTCACAATCATGGTGGAAGGGCAAGTCACGTCTTACATGGCAGCAGGCAAGAGAGAGCTTGTACAGGGGAACCCCTCTTTATAAAACCATCAGATCTGGTGAGACTTATTCAGTGTCATGAGAACAGCATGGGAAAAACCCACCCCCATGATTCAGTCATCTCCCACTGGGTCCCTCCCATGACATGCAGGAATTATGGGAGCTACAACTCAAGAGGAGATTTGGGTAGGGACAAAGCCAAACCGTATCAGCCACATATATGGAAGTGCAGGGATTCTCCTAGATGTGAACCTATGGGTGCCCTAGGAGGCCGAGTGGTACAATGGTGTAGTGGTGCATAGTACAGGTAGTTCACCGAATGCCCTAACTTTAATGCCACATGCCACCTCTGTTATTCACTAGCTCTGCAAGCCCAGGAGAGTTACTGAATTGTTCTAGAGCTCCGTTGCTCCTCTGTGCAGATGAAACAATTATAGTACCTATCTAATTGAGTTGTTGAAAGGATTAAAAGTGTTAATCCAAGAAAAATGCTAAAACAGTGCCCAGCCAAGGTTAGCTCTTATTAACAGAACTTGCTGCACTGGGGCATTCATCTTTTAGGAAAGTATGGATTTAATTTTAATCATCTTTGTATTCACTCTAAACTTACCCCAATGCCAGACCTATGGTAGATGATCAGTTTATACTCATTGAACTTTGTTGCATGGGATTAAAACCTGCAAGAGAAAGACAGGACTTCTTGAGATGATGACAAACCTACAGTTCTATTTCTGAGGCATCATGGTTATAGGAAGTATTAAGCACCTAAGTTTAAAACAGAAAAGGAAATGAAAAATGCTTTTTGTAATTTACTTTTTACTTTATGACAAGTTTAGATTTATCAAATTATTGTGAAGATGGTACAGAAATCTCATAAGCCCTAGACTCAGTTTCCCCTATTATTAACATCTTGTATAAGTATGGTACCTTTGTTATAATTAATGAACTAATACTGATATACTAACCAACTAAAGTCCATACTTTATTCAAATTTTCTCAGTTTTTCCTTAAGTTACTTTTACTGTTCCAGGACCCTATCCTAAATGTCACATTACATTTAGGATACAGTCTTTTTAGGCTTCACTTGCCTGGGACAGTTTCTCAGACTTTGTTTTTTTTTTTTTTTTTTTTTTTTTTCAGTGTTGTGTATTTGCTTGTTTTTAATTTCATTCGATTCAATTCAATTCAATTCAATTTTAAGTTCTAGGATACAGGTGCAGGACATGCAGGTTTGTTACCTAGGTAAACACCTGCCATGATGATTCGCTGCACATGTCGACCCATCACCTCGGTATTAAGCCCAGCATGCATTAGCTGTTTTTCCTGATGCTCTCTCTGTTGCCCAGGCTGGAGTGCAGTGGCCTGATGATGGCTCATTGCAGCTTCAACCTCCCAGGCTCAGGCAATCCTGCCACTTCAGCCTCCTGAGTAGCTGGGACTACAGGCATGCACCACCACGCCTGGCCAATTTTTCATTTTTTGTAGCAACAGAATCCCACTATGTTTCCCAAGCTGGTCTCAAACTCCTGGGCTCAAGCAATCCTCCCACCTTGGCCCATCCCAAAGTACTGGGATTATAGCGTGAGCCACCACACGCACTTGACTTTGTTTTTGGTGACCTTGACGGTTTTGAAGATTACCAGTTAGATATTTTGTAGAATTTCTTTCCATTAGTACTTTTTAAAAATTGAGATATCATTCATAAACCTTAAAATTCACCTTTTTAAAGTATACAGCAAACAAAATTTAAAAAGTTTGTTGGTAGCTTGATTCTGTTCAACCTAAAATTTATTAACAGAATCAGATGAGTTAAATTGTATACAGAGTATTTCCAGATAGGAAATGTGTTATTTAAATTCCATTTATCTGGTGAGCTCAGATGCTTCTGGTGAACATTTATTTGAGCAGGGTTATAATGCATTTTGGCAAAAGCAAACTTGAAGGTCATCTTGGATTTGCTGTTGCCCTGGAAATGTTGAAAGGAATGAATTTGTTCTGGCATCTTGGACTGTTTTGGACACAGTTTCTAGCAGGGTACTTGTTTTTATATACTAACTGAAATAGTACTGAGGTCAATAGCTTGCATTTGGAAAACAGAAATGAAAATACATCTTTTACCTTGACAAAAGGTTGGCAACTGATGGCAGAGATGATCAGAAAGTAGAAATAGGGTGTGTGAGTGGGATTCCCATTTGCGTAGCTTTCTTTGCATACCCAGCACATTCATTCATTTAATAAATATTTATTCTGTGCCTACCATGTGCCAGAAACTGTTCTCGGTGCTTGGGATATGGTAGAGAACAAAGCAAACAAAATCATGTTGTCATGGAGATGACATGCTGATGGTGCCAACAGAGAGTGAACAGGTAAGTGTGAGTCAGGGGTGATTGGTGGTTTGAGGAAGTCATCGTAAGGTGATAAAGAATGGCTGGTGGGAGGTGTTACTCAAAGAAAGCTTCTTTTAGTTGACATGTGAACAGAGACACAAATGTATATTTGAATAAATGTGTGTCTGCCACATGGAAGTTATCTTTGGAATGAAGGGAATATAATTTTTCTTTATTAGACCATTCTCACATTACTATAAAGAAATACCTGAGGCCAGGCATGGTAGCGCACACCTGTAATCCCAGCACTTCGGGAGGTGAAGGTGGGCGGATCACCTGAGGTCAGGAGTTCGAGACCAGCCTGACCAACATGGAGAAACCCCATCTCTACTAAAAATACAAAATTAGCTGGGCGTGGTGGTGCATGCCTGTAATCCCAGCTACTTGGGAGGCTGAGGCAAGAGAATTGCTTGAACCTGGGAGGCGGAGGCTGCGGTGAGCTGAGATCATGCTGTTGCACTCCAGCCTGGGCAACAAGAGTGAAACTCCGTCTGAAAAAAAAAAAGAAAGAAAGAAATACCTGAGACTGGGTAATTTCTAAAGAAAAGAAGTTTAATTGGCTCACAGTTCCACAGGCTGTACAGGAAGCATGATGCTGGCATCTCCTCAGCTTCCGGGGAGGCCTCAGGAAACTTACAGTCATGGTGGAAGGCAAAGGGGGAGAAGGCATGTCTTACATGTCCAGAGCAGGAGCAAGCAAGAGAGGGTGGAGGGAGGTATTACACTTTTAAAGACCAGATTTCATGAGAACTCACTCAGGATCATGAGGACAATACCAAGAGAGATGGTGCTAAGCCATTCATGAGAAATCCACCCCCATGATCCAGTCATGTCCCACCATGCCCCACTTCTAACACTGAGGATTACAATTCAACATGAGATTTGGGCAGGGACACAGATCCAAACCATATCACTTACTATCATGTGTTCAAATAAAATCAGTCAATAAAACGAATGGGGCAGCTTTTGTACAACTGTCACTATGTAGCGCCCTAGGGGTTTAATAGTAAGATACACATTATCTGCTTCCATGGAGCTTATGGCCTTGAGCAGGAACAGGATGTTAATGAATTAAAATAAGCCCATGGGTGACGAACCATGGAAAGTGCTAAGAAGGGAGGGTATAGGGAGCTATGAGCCATGAGAGGGGAATCAGTCTAGGCTGGGTGGTCAGGGAAGGCTTCCTGGTAGAAGTGATGCTTGAGCTGAGAGGCAACACAGGAGGTAGAGTTCACAGCCATCAAGATGGGTCAGGAGGAAGGCCAGTGAGTCTGGGCAGCAGGAGTGGGGTTAACTGAGAAGAACCTACCGTGGGGATGGCAGCTAGGAGAACCTCACTTAACACTGGGCACATTCTGTTATTGGAATTTGATATTCTTCTTGTAAATGGTAGTAAGTGAGCATACATTAATCTGAAAAAGCCCATCCAATTGACCTGCCTTAACATTTTCAGAATGTGCACTATGCATTAGATTTTGCTAAGATAAGCTAAAATATGCTGTTATGTATCAAATTTCTAACACTTTGTTTGAATCACCAAAATGAGAAGAAATAGATTTACGGCAATATTTTAAAAGTGACTGTGTTAGTAAGAAAAAGAAAGGATTCTTTTTAGGAAAACAGATTTTAAGTCAAAACATAGAGGGTTCTTATATTTTTCTTTTTTTTTAACTATCATCTAGTGAAATTTTAGAGAAGGCATTTAACTGTATTATACACCATGGTCCTGAGAGGAAAAACAGTCTTTGGGGAATGCTTTTTAATCTAATAAAATGAATTATCTTTGTTTCAAGCTGTTCTTCTAGTACATTCAGTTACTTAACGTGGTGCATCATCTTTTAAGAGTGTTTTCGATATGACACGCTCAGAGTCAAATGACTTTATAAAGACCGAACGATGCTCTTGTGAAGGATGCAAAAATGCCTAATCTCTGGCCTTCAAAATGTTTCTGCCTTTTTAGGAAAATCCACATGTAATTGTGGAGAAGTCTTAAATGAAGGGCTGACAACAGTGGTGGTGGCGAACAAGGCTGAGAGTGATGGCGGCAGTGTGGGTTTCTTGAGCTGCTGAAATATTGTTTGGATTAAGGTAGAGAGTAGGATCTGCTTGGTGACATTTGTATACTGTTTTGTATTTCTGTTAATTGACATCAACAACAAATGTACCACCAGAAATTCTATTTATTATTTTAAATCTTTTAAAATAGCTCTTTCAGAGCTTCAGAATTTTTAGCAAACTTTACAGGGCCATTTTGCTTGCTTATCTCCTTCCTTCCTGCCTTCCTGCCTTCCTTCCGTCTTGCCTGCCTGCCTGCCTGCCTACCTGCCTTCTTTCCTTCTTGCCTCCTTTCCTTCTTGCCTCCTTTCCTTCCTGCCCACCTGCCTTCCTGCCTTCTTGCCTTCCTTCCCAGAGTCCCACTCTGTTGTGCAGGGATGCAGTGGTGCAATCATAGCTCACTGCAGCCTCCAACTCCTGGGTTCAAGCAATCTTCCCGCCTCAGCTTCCCAAGTGCCTAGGACTAGAGGTACACACAAATGCCAACATGCCTGGCTATTTTTTTATAGAGACAGGGTCTTACTGTGTTGCCCAGGCTGCTCTGGAACTCCTGGGCTCAAGAGATCCTCCTGCCTTGGCCTCCCAAAGTGATGGGATTATAGGTATGAGCCCCTGTGCCCGGCCTTCTTTGTGTATTTCTGATAATTTTTTAAATTATGAAAATAGTATATGCTTATTTTGGAAAATTTGGGAAATACAGGCAAGTATAAGGAGAAAAATTTTCAATCTTATAATGAAATCATCTCGTTATAGCACATGGAAGGGATATTTTGAATGAAAATAGGTTTTCTCTGATTATAAAAATAATGTCTACTTAGTATAGAAAAAAAAGACAATTATATAGTGAGATCACCACTGTTAAGACTGGGGACTAGTTCTATGCGTGTGTGTGGATCATACTATGAAACTTGAACTCACATTAGTACCAGAATAGACTCTGAGAAGGGATAAGAACCGCACTTGAGAGGATTGTCTATTGTTATTTATTTATATTTTTGAGACAGGGTCTCACTCTGTCACCCAAGTTGGAGTGCAGTGTACTGATCATATAGCTCACTGCAGCCTCCAACTCCTGGGCTCAAGCCATCCTCTTGCCTCCGCCTCCCAAGTAGCTGGTACTACAGGTGTGTACTACTGTGTCCAACTACAGATTGTTTGTTTTTTTAAAAAAAAATTCCTCAAAGTAGTTTCTTCTTGAAAATCTTGGGCTTTTACAGACTTCTAATTTCATAATTTCAGTTGTGGCTTTCAGGGCTCTTAAACGAGAATTTAATGCTCATGAACGTGTCATTAAAAATAGCTACTAATCTATTTAATGAGTAATTCATATCAATTGATGAGAAATTCAAAAATAATATAGCAGAAAGTGATAAATGCACAATCCACAATCTCCCAGATATTGTAAGTTTACATTCTTCCAGAGTTTTTTGGATGCATGTATTTAAATTGGGGATATATGTATATATTTTATGCAAAATGACTTCATATTATTTGCATTGTTCAGTAGCTTATTTTCCTGATTAAGTTGAATACTGTGAACCCTTTTCTATTTTGTTCAACAGAATTTTTTCTCCTAGCGTTTGCTATGGCAGGATACTATTTGATTTTGTAGTAGTACCATAGTTTAAATACTTTTTTATTATAAAAATTGTGTTGTTTTAATTTTTTCATTATTAAAAGTAGTGCAATGGTGAGCATTGGTGTCAGATTATTGCCTGAAGATATCTTTTTAGAATTTGAATTTTTCAGCATTAACAGTGTGAATACTTTTCAAGCTTTTGTTACATATTGCCAACTTTTCCTCCTAGAACACTGGACCAGTTTAGATCACCACTGCGTTTTCCATCACATCTTGATCAACACTGGATGTTATTCCTTGAGATCTTTGCATGTTTACTAGGCAAAGAAAAGTGATTGTTGGTTTTAAGTTGTTTCCCGACACCCTGGGCACCTTGAAGATACTGTGTTTTTAGACAGTTGAGTTCATAAGTATGTACGGAAAGCCCGTAAGCAAATGCTGTTAATCTTCAGCACTTGAATGATGATCTCACAGAGTTTGGACAGGCACTGGGGATGTGCTATGGACAAAGAAGCAAGGAGCTGATTCTCTTACCCCCGAAGCCCTTCATGGGTGGAGCTCCTTGAGACCCCTGGCTAAATTTAGCTCATGTCCGCATCCTCTGCGTGCTCTCAATAAACACTATCAGAAAGGGACATGCTCTCTGGGATTTGCACCTATGACCCACAGGCAAGGAGATTCATCCAGTAATACAGATACAATAACGTAGGTTTTCTCAGATACAGAGGGTTCAAGAACATGATGGCACAGGGGTCGCTTCCAGTCCCTCAGTGTATTCCCTTCAGTTACTATTCCAAGAGGAGAGGACCCAGTCCCCCACCTGTCATGTATTCTCCACCCACCCTGCCCCGAGAGTGACCCTTCTGTGTAAGAAGACTTGGAGGGAATGGTCATGGGAGACGTCCTGGAAGAGGCAAACAATTGCTTCAAACAAGAATTGAATGCTCATAGCATGCTGTTAAAAATAGTTACTAATTTATTTAATGAGTAATTCCTATTCATTGAGGAGAAACTAAAAAATAAATATAGCAAAAAGTAGCAAATGCCCAATCCACAACCTCCCAGATATTGTACTTTGATGTTCTTCCAGACTTTTGGGATGCATATATTGATTTATGTCCTACTGAAACCTCATGATGGAATTTGATCGAATTTATTCAGGCCAAGGGTTTGAGAAGGTGGTAGCAGTAGGAGTGATGGGAAGTGGAGAGATGGGGAAACTATTTCAAGCAGCATGAAGAGTTCAAGAAACTCCAGGTTAGGTGTTGACAAGGGAAGGGCAGGAAAGATAAGATGAGTCTGTATCAGCAAAGGTCTTGAAGCCATATTAGGAGTTTGCTCCAAGGGCAATGGGAAACTAGAAAAGGGTTTTAAGCAGAGGTGTGATATCATTAGATTTGGTTTTGAAAGATCATCTCCTGACAGAGCAGAGAATGCATGGGAAACGCGCAAGCTGTGAATAGGCTGCCTTAGAAGGTTACAGTAAACCAGGTGCGGGACAATGATGACGTCAGGAACTGGGAGAGTGAAAATGGAGGAGAAGGAAAATAAATGGATTCAAACAATATTAGGAGGAAGAAACAGACAGGACTCAGTAGCTGGATATTTACTAAGTGCTTTTATGTTTCTTTTCTCCTTTGACAATTGGAATAACCCTGTAGATAAATAGGGTAGCCATTCCTATCTATATTTTATGAATGAAAATACTGAGATTCAGAGAAGCTAAAGGATTTGTCCCATGACACAGAGCTGGGGAAGGAACTAGAACTTGACACCAGCTGCCCCCCGTGTATTGCTGCTTTTGCAGCCCTGTGCTTCTTGTTTCAGTGATTGATGAAGGTGGGAAGAAGATCAAAACACCTGTACATCTAGTTTTTTTTTCTTTCTTATTTTTTTCCATAAGTTATTGGGGTACAGGTGGTATTTGGTTACATGAGTAAGTTGTTTAGTGGTGATTTGTGAAATTTTGGTACACCATCACCTGAGCATTATATACTGTACCCTATTTGTAGTCTTTTATCCCTCACCGCTTCCCACCCTTCTCCACAAGTCCCCAAAGTCCACTGTAGCATTCTTATGCCTTTTTGTCCTCATAGCTTAGCTCCCACATATCAGTGAGAACATACAATGTTTGAGTTTCCATTCCTGAGTTACTTCGCTGAGAATAATAGTCTCTAATCTCATCCAGGTCACTGCAAATGCTGTTAATTCATTCCTTTTTATGGCTGAGTAGTATTCAGTTGTATAAATATACCACAG